>NC_000002.12:21903694-22055209 GCF_000001405.40 Homo sapiens
CCACATTTTCTTAATCCAGTCTATCATTGTTGGACATTTGGGTTGGTTCCAAGTCTTTGCTATTGTGAATAATGCCGCAATAAACATACGTGTGCATGTGTCTTTATAGCAGCATGATTTATAGTCCTTTGGGTATATACCCAGTAATGGGATGGCTGGGTCAAATGGTATTTCTAGTTCTAGATCCCTGAGGAATCGCCACACTGACTTCCACAATGGTTGAACTAGTTTACAGTCCCACCAACAGTGTAAAAGTGTTCCTATTTCTCCACATCTCTCCAGCACCTGTTGTTTCCTGACTTTTTAATGATTGCCATTCTAACTGGTGTGAGATAGTATCTCATTGTGGTTTTGATTTGCATTTCTCTGATGGCCAGTGATGATGAGCATTTTTTCATGTGTTTTTTGACTGCATAAATGTCTTCTTTTGAGAAGTGTCTGTTCATGTCCTTCGCCCACTTTTTGATGGGGTTGTTTTTTTCTTCTAAATTTGTTGAAGTTCATTGTAGATTCTGGATATTAGCCCTTTGTCAGATGAGTAGGTTGCGAAAATTTTCTCCCATTCTGTAGGTTTCCTGTTCACTCTGATGGTAGTTTCTTTTGCTGTGCAGAAGCTCTTCAGTTTAATTAGATCCCATTTGTCAATTTTGGCTTTTGTTGCCATTGCTTTTGGTGTTTTAGACATGAAGTCCTTGCCCATGCCTATGTCCTGAATGGTAATGCCTAGGTTTTCTTCTAGGGTTTTTATGGTTTTAGGTCTAACGTTTAAGTCTTTAATCCATCTTGAATTGATTTTTGTATAACGTGTAAGAAAGGGATCCAGCTTCAGCTTTCTACATATGGCTAGCCAGTTTTCCCAGCACCATTTATTAAATAGGGAATCCTTTCCCCATTGCTTGTTTCTCTCAGGTTTGTCAAAGATCAGATAGTTGTAGATATGTGGCGTTATTTCTGAGGGCTCTGTTCTGTTCCATTGATCCATATCTCTGTTTTGGTACCAGTACCATGCTGTTTTGGCTACTGTAGCCTTGTAGTATAGTTTGAAGTCAGGTAGTGTGATGCCTCCAGCTTTGTTCTTTTGGCTTAGGATTGACTTGGCAATGCGGGCTCTTTTTTGGTTCCATATGAACTTTAAAGTAGTTTTTTCCAATTCTGTGAAGAAAGGCATTGGTAGCTTGATGGGGATGGCATTGAATCTGTAAATTACCTTGGGCAGTATGGCCATTTTCACGATATTGATTCTTCCTACCCATGAGCATGGAATGTTCTTCCATTTGTTTGTATCCTCTTTTATTTCGTTGAGCAGTGGTTTTTAGTTCTCCTTGAAGAGGTCCTTCACATCCCTTGTAAGTTGGATTCCTAGGTATTTTATTCTTTTTGAAGCAATTGTGAATGGGAGTTCACTCATGATTTGGCTCTCTGTTTGTCTGTTTTTGGTGTATAAGAATGCTTGTGATTTTTGTACATTGATTTTGTATCCTGAGACTTTGCTGAAGTTGCTTATCAGCTTAAGGAGATTTGGGGCTGAGACAATGGGGTTTTCTAGATATACAATCATGTCATCTGCAAACAGAGATAATTTGACTTCTTCTTTTCCTAATTGAATACCCTTTATTTCCTTCTCCTGCCTAATTGCTCTGGCCAGAACTTCCACCACTATGTTGAATAGGAGTGGTGAGAGAGGGCATCCCTGTCTTGTGCCAGTTTTCAAAGGGAATGCTTCCAGTTTCTGCCCATTCAGTATGATATTGGCTGGGGGTTTGTCATAGATAGCTCTTATTATTTTGAAATACGTCCCATCAATACCTAATTTATTGAGAGTTTTTAGCATGAAGGGTTGTTGAATTTTGTCAAAGGCTTTTTCTGCATCTATTGAGATAATCATGTGGTTTTTGTCTTTGGCTCTGTTTATATGCTGGATTACATTTATTGATTTGCGTATATTGAACCAGCCTTGCATCCCAGGGATGAAGCCCACTTGATCATGGTGGATAAGCTTTTTGATGTGCTGCTGGATTCATTTTGCCAGTATTTTATTGAGGATTTTTGCATCAATGTTTATCAAGGATATTGGTCTAAAATTCTCTTTTTTGGTTGTGTCTCTGCCTGGCTTTGGTATCAGAATGATGCTGGCCTCATAAAATGAGTTAGGGAGGATTCCCTCTTTTTCTATTGATTGGAATAGTTTCAGAAGGAATGCTACCAGTTCCTCCTTGTACCTCTGGTAGAATTCGGCTGTGAATCCATCTGGTCCTGGACTCTTTTTGGTTGGTAAGCTATTGATTATTGCCGCAATTTCAGATCCTGTTATTGGTCTATTCAGAGATTCAACTTCTTCCTGGTTTAGTCTTGGGAGGGTGTATGTGTCGAGGAATTTATCCATTTCTTCTAGATTTTCTAGTGTATTTGCGTAGAGGTGTTTGTAGTATTCTCTGATGTTAGTTTGTATTTCTGTGGGATCGGTGGTGATATCCCCTTTATCATTTTTTATTGCGTCTATTTGATTCTTCTCTCTTTTTTTCTTTATTAGTCTTGCTAGCGGTCTATCAATTTTGTTGATCCTTTCAAAAAACCAGCTCCTGGATTCATTAATTTTTTGAAGGGTTTTTTGTGTCTCTATTTCCTTCAGTTCCGCTCTGATTTTAGTTATTTCATGCCTTCTGCTAGCTTTTGAATGTGTTTTCTCTTGCTTTTCTAGTTCTTTTAATTGTGATGTTAGGGTGTCAATTTTAGATCTTTCCTGCTTTCTCTTGTGGGCATTTAGTGCTATAAATTTCCCTCTACACACTGCTTTGAATGTGTCCCAGAGATTCTGGTATGTTGTGTCTTTGTTCTCGTTGGTTTCAAAGAACATCTTTATTTCTGCCTTCATTTCGTTATGTACCCAGTAGTCATTCAGGAGCAAGTTGTTCAGTTTCCATGTAGTTGAGCGGTTTTGAGTGAGATTCTTAATCCTGAGTTCTAGTTTGATTGCACTGTGGTCTGAGAGATAGTTTGTTATAATTTCTGTTCTTTTGCATTTGCTGAGGAGAGCTTTACTTCCAAGTATGTGGTCAATTTTGGAATAGGTGTGGTGTGGTGCTGAAAAAAATGTATATTCTGTTGATTTGGGGTGGAGAGTTCTGTAGATGTCTATTAGGTCCGCTTGGTGCAGAGCTGAGTTCAATTCCTGGGTATCCTTGTTGACTTTCTGTCTCATTGATCTGTCTAATGTTGACAGTGGGGTGTTAAAGTCTCCCATTATTATTGTGTGGGAGTCTAAGTCTCTTTGTAGGTCACTCAGGACTTGCTTTATGAATCTGGGTGCTCCTGTATTGGGTGCATATATATTTAGGTTAGTTAGCTCTTCTTGTTGAATTAATCCGTTTACCGTTATGTAATGGCCTTCTTTGTCTCTTTTGATCTTTGTTGGTTTAAAGTCTGTTTTATCAGAGACTAGGATTGCAACCCCTGCCTTTTTTTGTTTTGCATTTGCTTGGTAGATCTTCCTCGATCCTTTTATTTTGAGCCTGTGTGTGTGTCTGCACATGAGATGGGTTTCCTGAATACAGCACACTGATGGATCTTGACTCTATCCAATTTGCCAGTCTGTGTCTTTTAATTGGAGCATTTAGTCCATTTACATTTAAAGTTAATATTGTTATGTGTGAATTTGATCCTGTCATTATGATGTTAGCTGGTTATTTTGCTCGTTAGTTGATGCAGTTTCTTCCTAGTCTCGATGGTCTTTACATTTTGGCATGATTTTGCAGCGGCTGGTACCAATTGTTCCTTTCCATGTTTAGTGCTTCCTTCAGGAGCTGTTTTAGGGCAGGCCTGGTGGTGACAAAATCTCTCAGCATTTGTTTGTCTGTAAAGTATTTTATTTCTCCTTCACTTATGAAGCTTAGTTTGGCTGGATATGAAATTCTGGATTGAAAATTCTTTTCTTTAAGAATGTTGAATATTGGCCCCCACTCTCTTCTGGCTTGTAGGGTTTCTGCCGAGAGATCAGCTGTTAGTCTGATGGGCTTCCCTTTGAGGGTAACCCAACCTTTCTCTCTGGCTGCCCTTAACATTTTTTCCTCATTTCAACTTTGGTGAATCTGACAATTATGTGTCTTGGAGTTGCTCTTCTCGAGGAGTATCTTTGTGGTGTTCTCTGTATTTCCTGAATCTGAACGTTGGCCTGCCTTGCTAGATTGGGGAAGTTCTCCTGGATAATATCCTGCAGAGTGTTTTCCAACTTGGTTCCATTCTCCCCATCACTTTCAGGTACACCAGTCAGACGTAGATTTGGTCTTTTCACATAGTCCCATATTTCTTGGAGGCTTTGCTCATTTCTTTTTATTCTTTTTTCTCTAAACTTCCCTTCTCGCTTCATTTCATTCATTTCATCTTCCATTGCTGATACCCTTTCTTCCAGTTGATCGCATCGGCTCCTGAGGCTTCTGCATTCTTCACGTAGTTCTCGAGCCTTGGTTTTCTGCTCCATCAGCTCCTTTAAGCACTTCTCTGTATTGGTTATTCTAGTTATACATTCTTCTAAATTTTTTTCAAAGTTTTCAACTACTTTGCCTTTGGTTTGAATGTTCTCCCGTAGCTCAGAGTAATTTGATCGTCCGAAGCCTTCTCCTCTCAGCTCGTCAAAGTCATTCTCCATCCAGCTTTGTTCCATTGCTGGTGAGGAACTGCGTTCCTTTGGAGGAGGAGAGGCGCTCTGCTTTTTAGAGTTTCCAGTTTTTCTGTTCTGTTTTTTCCCCATCTTTGTGGTTTTATCTACTTTTAGTCTTTGATGATGGTGATGTACAGATGGGTTTTTGGTGTGGATGTCCTTTCTGTTTGTTAGTTTTCCTTCTAACAGACAGGACCCTCAGCTGCAGGTCTGTGGGAATACCCTGCCGTGTGAGGTGTCAGTGTGCCCCTGCTGGGGGGTGCCTCCCATTTAGGCTGCTCGGGGGTCAGGGGTCAGGGACCCACTTGAGGAGGCAGTCTGCCCGTTCTCAGATCTCCAGCTGCGTGCTGGGAGAACCACTGCTCTCTTCAAAGCTGTCAGACAGGGACATTTAAGTCTGCAGAGGTTACTGCTGTCTTTTTGTTTGTCTGTGCCCTGCCCCCAGAGGTGGAGCCTACAGAGGCAGGTAGGCCTCCTTGAGGTGTGGTGGGCTCCACCCAGTTTGAGCTTCCAGGCTGCTTTGTTTACCTAAGCAAGCCTGGGCAATGGTGGCCGCCCCTCCCCCAGCCTCACTGCCGCCTTGCAGTTTGATCTCAGACTGCTGTGCTAGCAATCAGCAAGACTCTGTGGGCGTAGGACCCTCCGAGCCAGGTGTGGGATATAATCTCGTGGTGCGCCGTTTTTTAAGCCCGTCGGAATAGCGCAGTATTCGGGTGGTGGTGACCCGATTTTCCAGGTGCGTCCATCACCCCTTTCTTTGACTCGGAAAGGGAACTTCCTGACCCCTTGCGCTTCCCGAGTGATCCAATGCCTCGCCCTGCTTCAGCTCGCGCACGGTGCGCGCACCCACTGACCTGTGCCCACTGTCTGGCACTCCCTAGTGAGATGAACCCGGTACCTCAGATGGAAATGCAGAAATCACCCATCTTCTGCGTCGCTCATGCTGGGAGCTGTAGACTGGAGCTGTTCCTATTCGGCCATCTTGGCTCCTCCCCCATAAATTTTTAAATAGGTAGATCATATCTGCAGTGATACCTTAAGAGCTAACAAAAATATATTTTTTGAAGGTGGCTATGGTAAGAAGAATTAAGTGAAGGTCAAGGTGGATTTCTGCTTTTTTTTGTTTTTCAGTATTTTACAGTGATAGAAATAATTTTTTTGTACAAGAAAAATTTAAAGACAAAAATTAAAATAAACCAATGGAAAGCATACAAAGATCACTGTATTAGATATATGATACAAAATGTATTGACTAAAAACAAAAATAAATATGTGAAGCAAAGAGTAAACTAAGACATTTTTGTAGTATATATTTTTACCTTGTAAAAAGTTCTTAAGAATTTTGCAAAAATGCCTCAATATAAAAGTGAGCATTCAATATGAACAATTTACAGAGGCCAGAAAATGTGTTGAAAAGATCAGCATTACAAGTAATCAGTAATGCAGATTAAAGCAATATCGAGTTTTCACTTATCACATTGCAATAGATTTTTAAAATATAATTCAATACTAGAAGGAATGACTTTTATAACAGTTTTATACATTTTTAATGAGAGTGTGAATGGGGTAGCCTTACTCCATAATGGTTTGCAAAATTTACCCTTTGCTCCAACAGTTTCACTTTTTAGAAATTTATCTTAAATTTGAAAAAGAAGAGAGACGGACAAATACTGGTGTAAAATGATGATTATTGCATCAAAATTTATCATAGTGTGAAAAATAAAGACAACCCAAAATATAGAATATTCCTATAAGGAATTGATGTGCACCAACTAATTCTCATGTTTTAGAAGTTTATCCACCATCATGATAACAGGCAAAAAAGTGGGATACAAAACTGTTAAACATTTTTGTTTTGTTGAATGCACACAAAACGCTCAAAAATACTCCTAGAAAATAGAAAAAAATGTTAAAAATTCATATGAATGTGTGTATGAGTCTGTGGAGACCTGGAGATAGGAAGATACAGATTATAGATACATATCCATATATATAATTATATGGAATTGATTTGAAGTTTCTGTTTATTTTCCCATGAAACTTTTCTGCTTTAAAAGATTTCTGTTTTTAATTAACATCCAAGTTTTTGTAGTCAGGAAAAAGGAAACGAGCATTAAAAAGACACAAAAAGTACAAATGACCCTTCCACAGTGAGTATCTGCCTCTTTGCTGACAGAACTACATCCACTAAACAGTCAAAGAATCATCTTCTGTGACAGAGTCTAGTGGCATTTAACAAGGAATTTTGTGAGCCTTTAAGGACCAAATATTTATAAATTCTCACCACACCTCTGGAAAGTAGGTAAGGAAGCATATTATTCCTTTGAAAGCAAGCCCTCCTTTATCAATCTTGTCAAGACTGTCAAATCTTCCCCATGCAATAGCAATTATTGTTATTTTTCCTTAGTAATAATAAAATACCAGAGTAACCAGAATCAAGTTTATGCAAAGAGGAAACGGATGCCCCCATTGGTGGTCCAAGTTTTTGTAGGGCCAACAGAAAGTCATCACAGATTCCAACACTCCATCTCCACCAGGTCATTGATGCTGGATATCAGACACGATGCCTTTTCGTTCATTATTTAAATAAAGATCGATTAAGTGCCTAGCTTGTAGATGCTGCAAATATAGCAGTGAAAAACAAAAACGAAACCAAAACAAAGTTTCTGATTTCAGAGAGCTCATAGTCTAGTGTGTTGTTGGTTACCATTTCCCCCTTCTGACTCCACCCCAGATCTCCAAAACACTTATGCAGTGGTGTCCCTAAAGGCTTAGATCCTTTCAAGTTCCCAGATTAACCTAGACATAAAATAATACTAATATGAATAAACACATATGTATTGCTGAAAATTAAAGCATTCTCCTAACCAATCCTACAATGCTTTGCCCCATTCATACCCCAGATGTGGTCTGTCTAATCAGCTCATGGACCTAAAGTCACCATAGCTGTGATGTTCCATGTGGTAGCCACTAACCACGTGTGGCTGTTACACCAGTCACATGTGGTGAATACAGATATAGAATATTTGCTTCATTGGGAAAGGTATATTGGGCAGCTCTGCTCTATAGTTTTATTGGGATCCTTATTACTGAGACAGGATCTTGCTCTGTTGCATGGGCTGGAGTGCTGTGGTGCGATCTTGGCTCATTGCAACCTCTGCCTCCCGGGTTCAAGTGATTCTCATGCCTCAGCCTCCCAAGCAGCTGGGATTATAGGCATGCGCTACCACACCTGGCTGATTTTTGTATTTGTAGTAGAGCTGATGTTTCACCATGTTGGTCAGGCTGGTCTCGAACTCCTGACCTCAAGTTATCCACCCACCTCGGCCTCCCAAAGTTCTGGGATTACAGGTGTGAGCCACGACGCCCAGGTATTTGTATTTAATATAAACTTTCTTAACTCCCAACCTATGTTTCCAGATCTGCTTGTCTAGGCCTTCTTTTTCAGATCTAGACTCTTCTCCAGATATCCCCAGTCTTCTGCTTGTTAATGGAATACTTTCCATGGCCACTGATGGAGTGCCTAGGGTTCTGAGACTCACACAGTCCATGTTTTACATATGTTCTTCCCAACTTGTGGGTCAAACAGGTACTAATTACCGAACTGTGGCTAAGTCTGCCATGCACAGGCCTTTAAAACATTCTGGCCTCTCCCTTCTTCAGATCTCTAGTGCCACTTTCTAGGAAACCCATCATCTTTCCACCATCCATTATCTCACTGCCATGGCCAAGCCTAATCTGAAACTCTCATTTCTTCCAAACATGGAATTGCCTTATCTTTGGACCTGATACTCATGAATAAAGTTTCTTGTTCTAACTTTGTCTTCCCTCATTCTGTACAGTTTATATTCTTAATATGAAGCTGTTTCTTCTGGCTTCCTTCAAAGAATATCTTTTCCAATGAGGCCGAATCTCAATACTGAAACCTCCAATTTTGCAAGCATTTATGTTGATGCCTAGAAAGTACCTTACTTTAAGAATTCCCTTGAACCCTGAAACTCCCCTCCCGTTATACTTCTGGAGTCAAAATTTTTTGACCTAATGAGTTTTCATGGCCCTACATTGTGTTGGTGGCAAGGTGTTTTTCCAGGTTATCCCTCCTTCTCCTCTTCTCATCCCAGAAACTGCTAGTATATATGCCTTGCACCTAAGTCTTGAATAATTCATTCAACAACATCAAAAGCTCGTATTTCTTGAGCAAGGATTCTATATGAGGCAGTGTGCTCCAACAAGGGGATAGACAGGGAGGAATGAAATATACAAGAAGATTGCTGTCTAATTATGACAAGGAATTCTTTGACAAGGGAGAAAACCTTTCTTTTCTGCAGTAAGAGATCATGTTCAAAATGCAAGTAATCCTTAGGAAAAGAAACTCGACGTTCACAAATTTACTTCTGTTATAAAGGCATTCTGGCTCAGGAATGAGAAGGAAACCATGAAAACAGAAAAACAAACAATAAACAGCAACAACAGGGGAAAAAAAACCCTTGAAAAGTTAGTTATTTTTCATGAGATAGTTCTGGTCTTCACATATTTATGCTCTTTGTTTTCTTTTAAAAAATACACTGAAAAGGATGACTAGGGAAAAGAAAAGTTTGCAGAGATTTTTGTTTCCTTAGTAGCATGAACTGGTCTAACAAATTGGAAGTATTTTCCAATTGTCTCTCAAATCCAAGCATTCATGAACTGTTTCAACTTTAGACTGACTTGAGCCATTAGCGAGTTTTATGTTTTCAGATCAGTCTGTTGTGACCATCTATTTATTCATTTATTCAACAATTTTTTATTAATTATCCAGGATGTGCTAGCTCCTGTTCTGGGTTCGGGAATACAGTGACCAAGATGGACAAAGTGCTTATTTTCATGCAAATAAGCAAACAAATACTAAAGTATCTGGGACTGAAGAGTGCTAAGAAGAATAGAGTAAACAGGTATATTTGCTCTTAAGGTGTTCTGGGACAGCCTTTTAAAGGAGGTGACATAAGAGCAGAGACTAGAATGGCAATGAGAGGGTAAACTCCATGAGTGACTTGGGAAGAGTGTCCCATGCAGAAGAAATCACTCATAAAAAAATTCCAAAGCAAAGGTAATGACATGCACTGATTCTTGTCTTAAAATGGTTTATCTGGCTTCTGTGTGAATAATGCACTAGTGTGGAAAAGCAAGACAGAAGCAAAGGCACCATTAGGAGACAATGCATCTTTAGCTCTCTGATTCAAAGCTATTCTAAGTCCTGAATGTTCATTATCATCTTGGCACTTAAGTAGAATGCATTTTTCTTATCTATGCACTATAATCCATTCTCAGGAATGCATATGTTCCATGTATGTTATCTCAATGTTAAGCCTTAAAGCTCAATGACAATATCTTGTTTTGGGAACACGAATACTTCAATTTGATAGTGTTGAGCCTTCAATGATTGAATCTTGCAGTGCTTACTGGAAACTGCATTGGTTGCTCTACGCTTGTTGTTTGTATTTCTACATGAAAAGGGTAACTCTAGCATGACCTTCCTCCCGTTGCCAAGAATTAAATCTCAGCTTTTCCAAGGATCATCAAGACTACCTTGCCACTGATACAGCTTTTTGGCATTTGTGGAAAGCTGATTTTTTTTTTTAATTAAGAGAATGCCTGAAGATATTTACCCTTTCCAACTAAAAAGCCTTGGGTAAGGACATAAAAACTACATTCATGCCCATTTTCTTATGGAGAGCAAGCATATGCCTTCTTCATTTAAATGGCAGAATGGTAAACACAGAGAAAACACATTAGTTACTGTTAGCACTTGCATAAAAATTAGCAAATTTAGGTTATATTTGAAAATTATATATATGTACTTATACGTACACATATATACATATATGTATGTACACATATATACATATATGTACGTATACATATACGTACACATATATATAATGTATATATATGTATGTGTGTATATATATACTGTTTTAATCATCACTCCCCCAATATAAAGTCTCATTGCAGCTTGATGGAAATATCTAAAAATAGATATCATTTGCGTAAAAATCAGTTGCAATGAATTAGCTGTAAGCTTAGAAATCTTAAACAGAAATGTAATAAAGCAAAAGTGATGTTATTCTGCTTTCACAAAGATGTTATTTTCTATAAGTCTTCAATGTATTGGTAATAAATGACTAAACTTAGTTTCTTCAATTTTACTTTGATACATTGCTTTGACTTTAGACATTATGGGCTTTGACCTACATACCATGAAAAAGATTTAGCTTACCATATCACCATTAGTAGGGATATTTAAATCTAATGTTGACAAATCATTCATTATATAATATGTCACATTCCCTCATATGTAACTATGTATAAGAATGTTAACACTTTATACATATATTTATTTTTACTAATGAAAGAAGATCATAAATGTGAAGATTATATCCTTGAGCAGCAGGTTCATTTATGGAAAAAACTTCGCTTGACATTTCAAAAATATGAATGTTATTACTTTATATCATTCACGTTATAATTAATATTAATAATTTAATAAAAATTTGTATCAACATATTTTCTACCTTACATAGACAAACATGTGCTTTCTTACTGCAGGCATTCTATTTCAAATGCTGTTCTTAAAAGTGGATAAAACCGAGGGATTAATGATGTTTGAGGTGAAAGGTGGGTAGCTTATTAGCTTCCAGAGTTTATGTATGGCTCTTCATGATTCGAGACTAATCTAGTGATGGGGATGCATGTTGCCCTGGAACTTGGCCATTGGCATGCTGCTTGACTTAAATACTTCCTTTTGGTCATTATTCTCATTAGCTTGGAATATGTAGCAAATGAATTACAGCTATGTTTTACTTCTGCTGCTCACAATTGAGGTCAGATAGCAGGAATCCTTCAGTGCACCTTTAGGGAATCTTTGTATCATTTAATGAGATTGTCAACAACATTTTGCAGTAAGTAGTTGGCTGTAGAAAATAATTTTCAGAATTCTGGCTTTCTTAATTCACATCACAAGATCAATTCAGGAAACCCATACTGTATCAGAATCAAATTATTTCTGCTGACTTGACTTTTTTCAGATTCTAGAAAACATCATCTTAGTTAAGGCACATATGTAAAACTAGATGTATTAAAGAGATAAAATAATCCTGTATCTATTGAGCACCTGCTATATGGCATGAGTTGAGATAGCTGGTTACATCCAACAGTAAATATTTAGTAGGCACGGTAAATGCACTTGTTATTGGTCCTCCCATTGCTGTGTTATTAACAATTCATAATCAACTAACCTGATGGTGCAATATCCAGCAGTAAAGTTATTTCAGTTTCAAGAAGAGAGTTGTTAGAGAGGAGATAATTAAAATAAGGCACAAATCAGAGCCAAGGAGCTTGGCAGGATAGTGGATTCTATCTGTTGTCTTCTGGGAAACATTTTTCTATGCTGATGAACCAACATAGAGTGACACCCTGATGTTTTTCACACACCATAATGCTCCATTTGTGCTCTGTTTCCCTATGAGAAAAGTGAATCCAAAAAGTTGTTACTGCATAGGTTATATGGCCCCTGCTACAATGACTGAGTAAAACCACCCCTTCCATCCTGGTCACCATGTGTATGATGTATCCTGGACAAGGTAGATAGCATCAATGTCTGAGGCATCAGGGACTGAATTCTACTCAATAAGCTTCCTTTATATTGGCCTGTGAGAATCCAATTCCAGTCAGCTCTTCTCTTGATGAAAACAGTTGTAGGTAAACAGCCAGGAGGCAGAACAATAATCATGAAGCATAGCAGTACTGAGTTCCTCTTCCGGCTGCAGTCTTAAAACACTGGGTTCTGGGTGCTGGAAGAGATGCTGACATAGTTTTATTCTACATATCATTGTGGTGATCTCCTCTGTCATATAAAGAAATTGATACATTTTTGCAAGTTACATACAGTTGATAGCTATGCCATTTTGTTGCACATTTTTCTAGACAAGCCTACACAATGTGTATGTTGTACATTTAACTCAGCAAAGTGAATATTAACAGAAACTCAAATAATTGAACATGTGTTTTAGCAAGATACTATTTATCTTTAGAATCACATTCCCATTAAAACCTCTTTAAATTGGACAGGGCAGTGTCACATTTGCCATTTTTTTGCAGATGAAAAAACTGAAAATCAGCCGGGCGTGTTGGCTCACGCCTGTAATCTCAGCACTTTGGGAGGCCGAGGTGGGTGGATCACCTGATCTCAGGAGTTTGAGACCAACATGGGCAACATGGTGAAACCCCGTGTCCACTAAAATACAAAAAATTAGCTGGGCGTGGTGGTGTGTGCCTGTAGTCCCAGCTACTCGGTAGGCTGAGGCATGAGAATCAATTGAGCCCAGGAGGCAGAGGTTGCAGTGAACCAAGATCACGCCACTGAACTCCAGCTTGGGATATTGAGTGAGACTCTATCTCAACAAATAATAATGATAATAATAATAATACAATTAAAAAACCTGAAAATCAGAGATGTTGAATGACTTTCCTAAAGTCATAGTGATTAAGAGACAAATGTCAGATATAAGGATACACTTTTCTTACGGCCCTTAAATCAGTGACTGGTTGTGTGGGAGTCCTTAGGACCTTCTTAACTCTTTGGCTTTACGATGTTGTCGTCTGAAGCTGCTCAAGTTTCCTTCTACCTGTATGTTGCTGGAGGTGTGCAGGCTCTACTCCACTCATTTCTCGTTTTATAACTCATTTCTCAGCCAAACAGCACCACATCTGTCACCAGGGGAGGCTATGGAAGCAAGCACGCACATTAGACATTTGAGGAACTGTCCAAATGCTGACATTCCCATTTTTAGAGTGCACACAGAACAGAGAAGATTTGATTCGGTAACTAGTCTGCCATTTCACATGATTTAATCACCTGGGAATATATTTAAATTCAAATACTGAGAGAGAGACGAGTCCAGGGGGTGGGTGCTTTTCCAAAGTGTCCATTAAGTAGCAAAATGAGACAAGAGGGCAATAGAGAGATGATATTTCCAGGGTAACTAGAGGAAGTCTGACAGAGCCCATTAAAAGATAGTGCACATTAGCTTCTTGAACCAGAAAGTGACAGACACTTGAAGAATCCTGGGCATGTTGAGAGGAAACAGGAGCCAGCTTGTAAGCACTTGCATTGATTAAATCTGAGACAATTGGGCCCTCAAAATAATGCTAGTAAAGGATTATAATCTAATGAATAAAACAACAATTCCTGAGTCCATAAAAATATAAATAAATAACAATAATAAATAAATGAAGAAGGAAAAATGTTCTCTTACAGTGGAGTGCTATCAATCTAATAGTTATAGAAGAAAGGATGGAATTAGAAAATTAGTCATTGATGCTAAAATTAGCGTATGAGTTTGAGGAGAGACAGATGTATTTACATCATCTCAACCAAAAATTAATATCTCTTCATACATTACATTAATTACAAAGGGAAAATAGTGATCTTATAGTGAAGGACACCAATTAACCAAGTGATTAAAACTAATATCACCAATATACCAATATAGGGATGAATGAACATCATGTACCTACTACTATGTCACATTGAGATAGACACAAATTCACTTATGTCATACTTCTGTCAAAATGTATAATCCAAATCTCATTACAAGTAAATACCAGACCAAAACCAAGGGCAATTCTGCTAAATAATTGACATGTGTTTGTCGAAATAGCCCAGGTCAGAAAAAAAAAAAAAGCTACGTAACTGTCCCAGATTAAAGAAAACCAAGTAAAAGTCATGTATAATCCTGGACTAGGCTGTGACCAGAGAAACATAATTAAGAAGATCAATAAAGATCAATAGTGAAATTGATGATATTTAAATGTAGACTGTGGGTTAGATAAGAGTATTGCATCAATTCTTAGTTTTCTGAGGTTGATAACTGTACCATGATTATTTAAGAGTATATTTTTATTGTTTGCAGATACTGAAGTATTTAGAAGTAAATAGACATTATATTTTGAACTTACTGTCAAACAGATTAGAAATAATATACATATGCGAGACAAGGACAGAGAATAAAACCAGTGGGTCAGAATATAAATGACTGGTCAATCTGATCAAAATCTATACATGAGCTCCTTATACAATTTTTTATCAGAATACATATATTTGCACATATTAAGTTTATATGTGTATATCATGTATATATTATATATGTATTGTTAAAAGTTATTACATATATTAAAATATATGTATATATTAAAAGTTTTAAATGTCGTACATATATATGTATAATATATACATATTAAATATACACATTTTAAAGCCATACATAGAATATATGTGAAATTGATAATATTTGAATGTAGATTGTGGGTTAGATGTACATACAGAGGATATATGTATGACTTTAAAAATCTTTTAATTTTGAAAGCACTGTAGATGCGTATGCAATTTTAAGAAATAATACAGCCAGATCTTGCATATTCTTCACCCAGTTTTCCCTGATGGTAACGACTTGCAACTTTTCTGTAAGTTTGAAATTATATCAAAATCAAAAATTACAAAAATTAGGTACATTGTGTTTCTGAGTCAGTTCCATTACAGTAAGAGATTAAATACTTCAAGTATGTGGATGAGTTACAGCACTTCTGAGAAGAGATGCAAATAGGAAAGTGAACTAAGGGATGAATAAACTTTGGTCAGTGGGTCAGGCAGACAGGAAAGTTTGTGTTAAGACAGTTTGTAGAACACAGCTTATAATGAGCGACCATATTCATGTCCCAATAACTGAAACTATCAAGACACATTTTCTTCAGTCGTAAAATAGGAGCACAATAACTAACTCACAAGGGTTTTTGTAGATTGTATAATATAGTGGATATTCAGCAATTGGGATTGTGCCTGACATAGAAAATGCTCGATGGATATTGCCCATTTAATACCCACACCCACTGGCTTTCCCAGATTTTTCTCTTTATGTCAAGTGTAAAATTTCTCTAATTCTACCTCAAGGACATGCAGCCTCGAGCCTGTGAAAGCCTATTTCTGAGACCAGGCTACTGTTTCATGACCCATAAGATACAGCTCTTATTATAACCCTGAAGGAAAGAAACATAACGCTTGAGCATTAGGATAATAATGAACACTTTTCTTCCCATTTCAGAATTATTCAAATGTATAGTCAATGGATCCCAGTGGAAGCATATTTTTCTCTAATTTCTGCCTGAAGACTTTGTACCGCGTTTCTCCTTTAGAACAAACATGGGAAAGTGTTCTGGGAAAAGGAGTATTTTAGTGAATCAATAAGTAGAATGTTTTCTTTAAAAGGGTTACAAATTCTTTCCATGTTTTTTTCCTTAGAAACATGGGTGCGCATGTTTAGAATCTAATCAGCCAAATTAATAGACTCCGGTGGCAAAGAAGGGAATTGAGAACTAAGATTTTGGCCTTTTTATATTACTTCAAAAATGGGCATTTCTGTTGCTTGGAGATGTTTTAATTTTATTATTAAAATGTAGTGAGTGCTAGTACTGTGCGAAAAACTAAGGGGGTTGCCTTTGAGGTGTAGAAAAGCACTCCATCACAAGTCATGCTGTGTGTAAGATATATTGCATATTCAAAAATCATTTAAATGCAGTGTGATTTAAAAGAATAATGAGTGAATTAAAATGTACGATATAGATAATAAGAAATTTCACTGGGGCAAATAGTGAATACAACAGAATTCAGGATCTTAGTGGAAAGGGAAGAAGTGAAGATTAGAGGTTTCAGAGACATACTGTATTAGTGCTATCTCCAGCCTCCTGGGTATTTTAATCTATGCTACCTCCAGTTGTTTCAAGCATTGAAATTTTTCCAAAACAAAGTAATGATAAATGTTTGAGGTGATGGATATCTCAATTACTCAGACTTGGTCATGACACATTGTATGCTTGTATCAAAATATATAGCCCATAAAACTATTATGTGTCCATAAAATTTAAAAAGAGAAGAGAAATTATATCTGTAATAATTAAGTCATTTATTCAAATAATTTAGAGTGTGATTTTATAAAGGGGTGCTTATCCCTGGGTTTTGAGCAAGGTTGGCAAGCCTGTTGTTGCGTAAACAGCATCACTTACAATTATGCCCTCTCTATTGTGAAAACTGCCTGGTAGAATTTGCCACTAATGTCAATCAATTCCAACCACTAGTCAGTCAAGTAGCATGGGGAAAATAAAACTCAGTCATGCATTTAATAAATATTTGCTGAATCAAATTGGCAGTTTCAGGAGAGATGGAATGTAACATGGAAATAAAGCTAGGCTTCTAGCCAGACAATTGGAGTTTAAATTCTACTCTCTCACTTTCAAAATATGTGACCTTGTTTATTCATCTGTAAAATGGGAGCAGTAATGCCTCCAGAAACCATCACACAGAACTGTTAAGGTGAAATTAAATGCATACAAGTTTACTTTCTAATTTTTTAAAAAGTGTGTGTCTTCCTTTCTTTTCAGCAAAATAATATGAATCATGATTGCCATTACTAAATCTGCTTATTTTTTACTTTTACTGTGTATTTTTAGGTTACCTGATGTTTGTGACCAATACAAAAGTCAGAACAAGGCATAAAAGAAACGACACAATTATTTTTAAGAAAAGGGCTGTATGCACTCCCAACTCCACTTAGATTGTCATTTAAGGCTGAGGGCAAGATAGACCACAGAGGAAATCGTTCCAAGGTGCAATGTGTCCTGCGGCTACGTTCATAGAGCTCATAAAGTTAAAACCCCTTCCAATAAAGAATCTCTAGGAGGCCTTGTCTGTATAACGTTGCAGTAGCTACTGCTACTTGGGTCAAGTGAAAGCAATTGCCCTATCCTAGCTATTATTTCCTGAACCAAAGTCAGTTGTGTTTGGGCTGGCTACAAAAAGGCTAAATTTCTTTTAAATGAAAGATTACTATAATGTAAGCTAAAAGAAGGTACAGTGTAGTTCAAAAAAACAAAGTAAACTCAGAACTGAGGACAGTGTTTGACACATGATAGGTTGTTGAATTATTACAGAAAAAAAAACCACTTTGCGTGAAAAATTCTAATCAATAGGGTGATCAATACTGAAAAGTGACAAATGGATCCCAAAAGATCCTTTCTTTGAAGGTCTGAATATTAGGTGACTCATGACAGAACACTCAATATCATACTATTTTTTAGTTGATACCTCTATTTTTTTTTTTTACTGAGGATATACATTCTCCTGACATAAACTATTCCATTGTATCTATAAAATAATCTCTTTACTAGTGTAACTCAGGAGTATTTTGTCCTTGCAAATTTCAAGAGCCTAATTATTACAAAGAGAAAAATAAATTTTCCCTTGGGTACTCAGTCTAGACATATTATTTTGTGCCACCTTTCAATACCTTTCGTACTATTGCAACATAAAGCATTTTGTATAAACCTATGCACATGCAATTTGCAGAGGGCATTAGCAGAATGCTCGCACTGGACAAGTGAGGCCCTCACTAATTTTTTTCTTCCAAACAGAAGTGATAATGCCAGAAGTGGCCCAAACAATGGAAATAGTACCAATGAGTTCTCTTATGAAAACTAAAATTCTCTGTACTGTAAATCCTGGGTTTGGTAACAAAATAGTCTGTAACAAAACAAAAAAGATCTTTTATAAAAGTAAGTGATCTTCTGAGTGGAGTAGTGATAAAAGGAGAATTACAGAATCAGGACTAGGAAACAGGAGTAAAAATCCAAGTATAAACTACTTCATATAGTTAATACAAGATTCACAATGCAATTATTTCTGGATGTCACTTGACTTTGAAAATGCCTGTATACTCTCAAGTTATGTATTTGGCAAACCGTGTATGATTCACATCACATTCAGTAGTGTGTGCTTACCCATTTTCAACTAAAACTTTGCCATCTTAATATTGGTATTTAGGTTCTAATTTAAGGAGAGACATAAGACCAAGGGTGCCCAACAGAAAACTGTAATTACAATGTATATTCCAATATTGAGCAGCCCAGAAATCAGTACCTTTAAAAAGAGTCATGTAGATTGGGCCCTCTCTTGCTTGAAAAGGCAACATTTTCCACAGACACAGAGTATACAAATGCTCCCCCTCCAAGCCCTCCTCCTTCCTGTTATCAAAATCTACTTATCTAAGTTCTGACACACATCCCATTTTCTCCCTGAAGCCTTCCTAAGCTATTGTGAAGCATGTAATCATTTTATGTACTGAATTGCCATAAGTACTATTAGTTACATTACTTTTTGGTTATTTTATTAACACATTCTTCTTCTTCTTACTATTATTACTGGTCTTCTCAGAGAAGGCAAGTTATTTGTTTTATTTTGGATGGAGGAGGGCATGCCTTATTTAATGTTTAGCAGAGAAGAAAGCTTAAAATAAGGGATGGATAAGAAGTCACTGGATGAACAGAAAGAGAAGAAAATGGCATGATGTGTAGCAAAGTGTTTTCTCTGGCTGAATATAAGTGGGAGACAGGCGATAGACGAATAGATGAAGAGTCAGAGTTGGCCTCTGAAATTGTGTGGTGAGTCTAGTGCAAACAAAAAGTGCCTATAAAAACTACTGTCTCAGTTCAGCACATGGAACTGAACGAGTCACCTACGGAGCACAAGGGAGAGATCAAGAGTTCTGTAGGAAGAGGTAGAGCCGGACATGGTGGTACGTGCTTGCAGTTCCAGCTACTCAGGAGGCTGAGGCAGGGTGGATCCCTTGGGTCCAGGGGTCCAGGATTGTAGTGCGCTATGCTCATCATGTGTCCTCACTAAGTTCAGCATCAATATGTGACCTCCTGGAAGCAGGGGACTGCTGGATTGCATAAGGAAGCGTGAACTGGCCCAGGTCAGCAATGAAGCAGGTCTGAACTCCCATGCTGATCAGTAGTGGGATGGTGTCTGGGAATAGCCACTGCACTCGAGACTGGGGCAACCTAGTGATATCCTGTAAAACATTTTTTTTTAAGAAGTATTAATAGAATGGTTCTCTCTTTGGACTACCAGACCAGAGTTAAAAGGGCAAAGATGAACACAGTACTTAATTGTGTATCACTTAGTAGCAGCTGCTGTTACACATTGGAGAATTTTCTTTATATTTGTGAAGAGTAATTTAATAACTGATTCTACAGTAGGCCATTTCAACCTCTCAGGGAATTAATGGTCATACCTGGAAATGCAGGCTTTAAATTATCAGCCTAGATGAATGGAATTATCAGAGCAGGCTTCTAGGAGAACACCTATTGAGTTATCCCAACTACTAGCTTTAGTGTCTGTGGTCTGTAAAAGCTGTCCCAAGCTAATAGGCTAGAATGATACTCCTCTCCTTTGAACTCCAACCTTTAAAGTTTCTGGAGAAGGTGGTAGACATGTAATGACATATGTTTTACCTTGCAATGTTTTCCCTGTGAGATTTTTTTTTTTAATGAGACAATGTTCACACAACATCAAATTAATCATTTTAAAGTGAGCTGTTTAATGGCAATTAGTAAGCTCAAAAAATTGTGTTCCCACTATATTTATCCACTTTTTAAAAACATTTTCATCATCCCGAAAGGAAACTCTATGCCAATTAAATAGTTGTTCCCCGTTTCTCCTTGCCCCCAGCCCATAGAATCCTCCAATCTGTGCTTTATCTCTGTAGATTTATCTGTTCTGGATAGTCTATCTAATGGAGTCATACAAGATACCTGGTTTCTTTTACTTAGCACAGGGGTTTTGTGGTTCATCCATATTGTAGTATTTTTCAATATTTCATTCCTGTTCATTGCTGGATAATAGTTCACTGTGTATACTATATTTTTATATTTATGCATCTGTTGATGGACATTTAGGTTGTTTCTCCTTTTGGTTGCTATGAATGGTGTGGCTATGAATATGAGTGTACACATATTCATTTGAGTAACAGTTTTCAATTACATGGATATATACTTAGATGTAGAATTGTGGGGCAATAGAGTAATTCCATATTTTAACTTTTGAGGAATTGCCAAATATTTTTTTATACTGGGTAAATAATTTTGCATTTCTACCAACAATATAGGAAGGTTCTAATTTCTCCACATTCTCATTAACACTACTTATTTTCCATTTAAAAATATTATAGCTACTCCTGTGAGTATGAAGTGGTACCTGATTGTGGTTCTGATTTACACTTTTCTAATGACTAATGATTTGGAACATTGATTATGTGCTATTTGCATAACTTTTCTGGAGAAATGTCTATTCAAGTCCTTTTCTGATTTTTAATCAGTTTGGTTGCTTTTTGTCGTTGGGTTGTAAGTGTTCTTTACATATTCCAGATGCAAGTTTCTTATCAGATACACACTGAAAAATAATACTACTGAATATAGAATTCTTGGTTGACATCCTTTTAAAAATTTTCTTTCAGAACTTTATATCATTCCATTCACTTTTTCCTACAGTAGTTGGTTCCCAAAGAGAAACCAGCTGCTAATCTTGAGAATCGTTTGTGCATGATGAGTCATTTCTTTCTTGCTGTTTTCAAGATCCTCTCTTTGTAGTTTCAGTTTGATTATAGTGTGTCTCAGTGTAGTTCTCTTAAAGTTATCTTTTCTGAAGTTTGTGAAGCTTCTTGTATGTGTAGATTCATGTATTTCCTCAAGTATGTCAGATTTGGGACCATTATTTCTTTAAATATTGTTTCTGTCCCTTACTCTCTTTCCCGTCTTCTCTGGGACTCCCATAATGCATATGTTTATGTACTTGATGCTGTCCCACAGGTCTCTTAGGCTCACTTCCCTTTTCTTTATACAAAAGAAAAGAGATAAAACTTTTTGATCCTGAGACTGGATATTTTTCTCTTCAGTTGTGCTTTTCAGCTCCAGAATTTTAATTGTTTTATTTTTAGTTTTCATAATTTCTATTTATTGATACCTCATTTTGCTCCTTCACCATTTTCCTGGTTTTCTTTAAATACTTTGTCCATGGCTTCTCTTAGCTCTTTTGATTTACTGAAGACAGCTAATTTAAAGTGTTGGTCTAGTAAGACCAATGTCTGGGCTTTCTCAAGGATAGGTTCTATTGATTCCCCACCCCCATCCCCCACCCCATAAATAGGCCACACTTTTCTGATTCTTTGTCTGCCCTGTACTTTTTTTATTTTTTAGTTCTGGAGTACATGTACAGGATGTGCAGGTTTGTTACAGAGGTAAACATGTGCTTTGTAGTTTGTTGAAAACTGAGCATTTTGAATATTTTAGCATTGTAACTTTAGAAATCAGGTTCTCTTTTCTCCAGGGTTTGTTTTTGATGTTTGATGGATGCAATGGTCCATTTGTTTAGTGACGTGTTCAAGCTATTTTATCAAGGACTATATTCCTTGTTGTGTGTGGTCAGTAATGTCTCTGTTCTGTTATTTCAGTGGTCAGTCAGTGACCTGACAGAGATTTCCTTAAATGTGTGGAGTCAAGTAAAAAATAAAAATAGGCTAGTTTTTGCCTCTTTGCTCTGAGCTAGGGACTTGGCTCTGGGCTATGGACTCCATTGCTAATCCAGACCATGTGTGACCTTGCCCTAATATGTGAAGCCCTTAGACCTATCAAAGGTAGAAGCCTCTAGTACTTTCAAGTGTTTTTCTGGGCATGAATCTGGTCTTAGTTGTACACATTGCACTTTGCCTTTCCAGTATATGGCATGGCCCTTCTAAGTCATTATTTCCCCCCAGTAATCTTCTTCCTTGAATTATTTCTTCCTGGGATCCTGGGTTCTGTCTGCCTCTCATCCCATTCATATCTCTTGCCCCAGCTGAGCACAAAGTATGTATGTCTTTAAGTCTTTTTGCCACCCAGAATGCCGCTTTAGCCCAGGGTGCAAGTTGATGTAGGGGAGTGCAAAACAAAAGTCAGCCTCTGTGTCAGTCCCTCAGGGAATGACCAGACAGGTCAAAATGCACAACCACAGTATTTTAAGAATAAGGGCTTCAATAGACGCTGACTTCGGCAAGTCAAACCAGGAATCTGGCCATCATCCCCACAATTGAAAGGGTTTGAAAACAAATGTGAATAATATCTACATGTGTTCCCCCAACCCCTTAGGAGAAAGCAAATAGGTAGTACTAAATTTGATGCTCAGTTATGTTGAGCTTCTTATGACTATTGTTAATGTACATCCAAATATGCTGTAAGGCATCATGCCAGGAAATTTAGATGTATTTTTACTCAGAACTGAAGTTGGAGTATTGAATTCTGCTGGAAAATAACGTGTAAAAAGGACCACCCTAAGAACATTTAATCTATGTTGTTTTTTTTTTCCTTCCTACATTGAATTGCTAGGTTCTGGACTGAAGGATCCCTGTTGTGGTAAATAATTTAACCCAGACTCACATAATTTGCTGTTTTGATAAGGATACACATTAGAAATAAACTTGAAAATCCAATAGAGCACATAAGCCTTTCAGGATGCTGTCTTACATTTTATTTATATTCTTCTAAGTATCGTATGTACAAAGCTGTTCAACTGCAAGAAAGAAAAGGAAAAAAAAAAGAAACTGACTTCTTACTGAGGAATTTTTTTTTTCTAGCCATGTTCCTATGAGAGTGTGTGGTACTTGCAAAATATAACAACTAATTATGTGGTCTCCGTTATAAATTTCCCACCATTATTTCAGATGAATATCCCTTGTTATCTTCAAAAGGTTACACAGCATTTGAAATTCAAAAGAAAGGTGTTACCTGCTATCTTGCATAAATCTCTAACAATTGCAAATGGAATATATTATCGTCAGATCCGATTGCTTATATCCATCCAATCTTGCCTTGGCCCAGCATTTGTAAAGGTAAATGCATGGTAACGTGCTTCTTATTTTCTTGGAATTTAAAATTGTGCATATAAATGAGAGTATCCCTCTTACACAATTTCTTGCAGATTGTTTTTTTCCATTACTGCTCTCATACCAAGTACATTACATTGAATGGTGAGAAAGGCTGAAAAACTTTATTAACTGTAACTTAAATATAACAGCACATTCTTTCTAAATGCAAGTGGGGGAAGATAAATATCAACTTTATTCCACTATTCAATGTAAGCCTTACAGATATATACGGTACTTGTTTGAATGCTCCTGGATTGTTTAAGGTCATTTGTATTGATTGACTATTGTGAAGTTTTACACTGTAATCTCCTTGTTTAAAGTTTTCCAGAATGTAAATCCATTGAGCCTATAATTTGCATATTATTAACAATATAGATTAGTATATTAGAATTACCTAAATCAATCTGATATGCATTTATTGAGTACCCACTCTTTACTCGTCACTGCAGTAGGTGCTAGAGGAATAGAAAGGCAACAGGGCCCTGTCCCTGTCAAGTTCACAGTTGAGTTAGAGATTGAATGAATAACCTTAAAATATTAATATCCCTTGGGTTGCAGCAAATATAACCTAAAGGGAATTCAGAAAACCACAGTGGTGAGTCCAACTCATATTCAGAATCACTTGGGGAGGTTTAACACAATAGAGATTGCTGACTCTGCTTTAGACTTACTGATATGGTTTGGCTTTGTGTCGCCACCCAAATCTCATCACGAATTGTAATCACCACCTGTCAAGGGAGGGAGGTGATTGGATCATGGGAGTGGTTCCCCCATACTGTTCTCATTACTGTGAGGGAGTTATCACAAGATCTGTTGGTTTTATAAGGGATGCTTTCCCCTTTGCTTTCTCTTCTCTCTCCTGCCACCATGTAAGATGTGCCTACTTCCCTTTCCACCATGATTGTAAGTTTCCTGAGGCCTTCCCAGCCATGCAGAACTGTGAGTCAATTAAACCTCCTTCCTTTATAAATTACCCAGTCTCAGGTAGTATCTTTATAGCCATATGACTAATACACTTACCAACCCCAGATATCTCAGAGTATTGCCCAAGAATATGCACTTTTAAAATGCTCCCTGGATGACGTTGGTGACTAGCCAGTTTGGGAACTGCCAGCAGATGACCTTTTATGTCCTCTGAAAGCTTTGGAGTCTAGAGTTCTATACTTGAATTAGAGAAGTTAAAAAGGAAGAAACTATGTGGAGGCACAAAGTGCATACATATTCAACTTTATTATTATTAAAATATGAAGTCTTCTTCTCAGCCTATCCCCAACCAAGTCGATGAAAATCTATGTTTTGGTAATATGCCTATCACCCACAAGAGGGCTCCCCTGAAAAAAAAAATCTCAACCAAAATATCTTAGTCTGTTAAATAAATCTTAGTATGTTTAGAACAACTTCACTGATCTATTTATTCATTGAAAAGCATATTTGCAATATATTCTGAACAGTTTTTTAACCGTATGTAGAGGGCCTTATGCTGAAGTATCAAGAAGACCAGTGATTTAGTTTGTAACTTTTAAGCATAAGGACAGGGGAGATTATTGTTTAAAAATTATCTTATAATATAATGTAACTTACAATATATGGTAAACAAAGACATCACCTTTATAGTCATGTACATATTCTAATTTTTCCTTAGAGCCCCAGTTTATATATAGCTCATTTATTTTCTTTACATTCTATCCTAGTGTACTCAGGTGCTTAACCAGTGTATAGACAGGGTATATTCCATGAGAGTGTTAAAATACTAACATTGCCATCAATGACCTACCTGAGGTGTCGGTAAGGCCATTGAGAGGGGGGATAATATTTTCTGAGAATCCAGATCTGGTCCTTGTCTTTGATTCCTTGGAACATCTGTCCAATACTTAATCTATTGGAAGTGCAAAGGTGCAGTCTACTTAGGGGCTAGGTAGCCTACCACAGAGATCTTTCATTGACAGATCATTTAGGATTCAATGTCCTAACAGTTTTACCCCACTCCCTCTCTCAGTTGGCTGCTCCAGTGTATACAGTAGTAAAAACAAACTGTTTCTTTTCCTAATATTCTCTCACTCAACACAACCCAGAGCACTTCTGACACCAGATGTGCATTTTGCTTTGTTTTGTTTCCCACACATCAATTCTCCAGCAGACAGCAACTGGGTGTTCTAACCTTCAGTTAAATTTTGACACAAGCTGTAGTTAGTGCAGACCCCACATGTTACGGACTCAGTCCCACATGACCCCCCTCACCTCAGATGCCAATTGCAAGTCTCAAATTGTCACCTGTGCTTTTGATCTACCAGCTATAAATCAGGAGTTTTCATTACCTCCTCTTTGGGTTTGATCATTTGCAAGAATGGCTCACAAAACTCAGGGAAACACTTACTTACACTTACTCGTTAATTATAAAGGATTACAACCAGAGCAAGCTTGGAAGTGGATTCTTCACCAGAGTCTTAGGTTAGAGCACAGCCTGGCAGACACCTTGTTTTTGGCCATGTGATAGCCAAAGTAGAAAACCCAATACATACTTACATAACTGGGAGATAATAAATGGTTATTGTTTAAGGTTACTGAGTTTGTGGTAACACATTATGCAGCAATAGAAAACTAATATTTTAGGCGTGAGCATGTTTTCACTATGACTAGCTTTTTTATTATATATTTTTGCTTGTCAGTTTCTTTACATGTGTATTCCAAAATTACAACTATGTCTAAAGAAGAGCAGTTCTGTCTTGTGTATGGATAGATGATACTCCTGCCTCCCCATCAAAGCACATTGACTGCATTTTGGGAGGTGGGAGTTACTGCACAATCCACCTGCCTCTCTTTGTCTTGCTTCTATGGAAACTGTAATTAACGTACATAATGGAGGTAGCTATAAAAATTCCAGAAGTCCATGGCCAAAATGCCCTGACTTTAGATTCAAATTTATATCCTAAATTTCTTCTTTGAAATCAGTCTGTGAAATGTACTTTTTAAATTCTTAGTTTTTATATTTTGGTATTTTCCATATGACTCTGGTACATTTGTGCCTCTTCCACTAGAAGAGTTGGTAATCTGCACAGTTTGTTTCTATTCAACTTATTTTTATTCTGTAGAATACTTGAAGTAGTTTTGAGAGCCTGCGAGGACAGTTCCATAAGTTTAATGCTTCCATAATAGACATTCCAGATGGCCTAACCATTTAGGACAGGAAATGCGGATCCCTGCCACAAGAATTTTTGGAAGTCCTGCCATTATCTCAGGATATGGCTGGGATGTGGGCCAGACCCCTGAAGGCTCAGACTTCTGCTAATACCTCTTTTTCCTTGCAGAGCTGCCAGAACTAGAGGAAACACTTTTATTTTTCCCCATCAGAATGAAGACACACTGTCAGCCTGAAACTTTTTGTAGTCTTAGGAGTCTAGTGTAGTGCAGCTGCCTTTTGACTGAAGCTGGTTCATATGTCTTCAAAATCCTCCCTCTCTTCAGTTCTTGCAAAGTATAACTTCTCCCTTGTGATCCTACTTCTGCCACAAGAATGAACAAGCACCACTTTGAACTTTTGACCTGGCATTTTCTGTGCACTTGAATCCATCTCATGCAGGGAGAATGGCCTTTGCCATCACTAACTTTCTCCTTCTCATCAACTGACTGGTATGATAGAACTGTCCCCCCTGGTATGCACCAACACAGCCAGGACAGGACTACCCGACAGACATTTAGACTTCCTTATTAGATACCAGGTAGAGCTTCACAAATCCCCAGACTCCTGAAGGGTTTGCCTAAACAGTCCTGGTCCACTGAGCCTCCCCTGCATCTGAGGCTCAAGCACCTTGCTAAGAGACTCCCTGGGTGGGCCATTTGTGAATTCTGCTTTTTAAACATCATCGGTGCTTTGGATTTAAAAAGCCTTGCTTTGCTCTTTCATAGAGTACAAAGAGGAAATAGGTTGTTTGACAGAGCGAACATCTTAAACAATCAGCATTGCCTTGCATATAGCAACTCAACCAGGGGACAGGGAATGAAATCCAGAGGGGGAAAGAAGAGGACTGGATGCTCTGAGGCTGCAAAAGTGAAGATGAAAGCTAGACAAGCTAGAACCTGGGACTGCCACACACACTTTCTTCTTTTGATAAGAGGGAGAGGAGAGTTTGCTTTCCTAATTTACAGGTTTTGAAACTGAGGTTCAGAGAGATTAGTTTTGCTTCTGAGTCTTAGGAGTTGAGTCTTAGGCGTGTTTGGTTAGATTATAATTGCCTATAAAGCGGAGGTATCTATTTTCTGTAGCTTCTATTTATCTTATTCAGTCAATTCAAGGTCTGCATTCAATCACCTGCCTGAGTTATAAATATTTTTAATGACCACTCACATTTTTCCCCATCTACCAAGAAGTCCCTTGGGTCATCATGCCATTTGAAGAGCATCAGTGTATGTGTCTCTTTTAATTGGAGCATTTAGCCCATTTACATTTAAGGCTAATATTGTTATGTGTGAATTTGATCCTGTCATTATGATGCTAGCTGGTTGTTTTATGTGTTAGTTGATGCAATTTCTTCATAGCGTCGATGGTCTTTACCATTTGGCATGTTTTTGCAGTGTCTGTTACCAGTTGTTCCTTTCCATGTTTAGTGCTTCCTTCATGAGCTCTTGTAAGGCAGGCCTGGTGGTGACAAAAATCTCTCAGAATTTGCTTGTCTGTAAAGGATGTTATTTCTTCTTCACTTATGAAGCTTAGTTTGGCTGGATATGAAATTCTGGGTTGAAAATTCTTTTCTTTAAGAATGTTGAATATTGGCCCCAGAAAACCAAACACTGCATGTTCTCACTCATAGTTGGGAATTGAACAATTAGAACACTTGGACATAGGGCAGGGAACATCACACACCAGGGCCTGTCGAGGGGTGGGGGGCTAGGATAGCATTAGGAGAAATACCTAATGTGAATGATGAGTTGATGGGTGCAGCAAACCAACATGGCACATGTATACCTATGTAACAAGCCTGCAAGTTGTGCACATGTACCCTATAACTTAAACTATAACAAAAAAAAAAAAAGAAAAAAGCATCAGTGGATGTACTTGAATACCTGTTGTTACCAGTGGAGTTAATTTAACATCATTGAGCATTTCCCACACCTAGACTTCATGGTGAATTCATTTTTGGTTACGCTATCTGCTGGAAGACTATATCCAGATTACTGTGTGTATGTTTTTGTCTCTGGATATTTTCTTAGGCTTTTGACTCTCAAGTCAAATTTTAGCCCTTCATCTTTTATTAAAACCTCTCAAAAGATCCTGCTACCTTCGTGAATAATTGTATGCAAAAGATATTTTGCTTAAGACCCATCAGTTCCAAAATCAAGTAAAGAGAATTCCTACTAACAGGTGACAAACACAAAGGAAAGATATTGAAAATAACCTATATTCCTGAAGTTAATTTTCAGATAGATAATTTAACCAAGGGTTCATGTTCTAATAGTAGTGATTAACTAGGGAAGAAGTAACAAACTGGCTTACATAATTTTGATTATGGCAAATTTATTTAGCACACCAGAGCCTCGACATTCCCAGCTGTAAATTGGGACCAATAATTTTGACCCCAGAGAATGGTTCTGAGGATTAAATAGGTGATGTATATGTAGCACTTTCCAAGGCATTTGCCACAGACTCATCATTCATTAAATACAAGTATCTATCACCTTAGTTCCCACACAAGCCCAAAGAACATCAACAATTCTTTCCTGTGCATCACCAGTGAACTGGGTGCTTGGATGAAAGAGAAAATACTGTATGAATGTCAAGAATTTTCAGTGTATTTAGGGACAAGGAGCAACACAGAAAAATAAAAACCTCTGGGTCAATTTCTGCCCCATTTGTCCAATGTGTAATTTCACCTCCCATTTCCAATAGGCAGTATTTTCTTATGCAAAGAGTAATTCCCAGTGGTGCAAAAAGGAGGTCAACCTGTGGACAACTTCATTTTTCCCCGTGAACCCCTGGCATTGACCACACTCCCCCAAGTTCTTCTGTGGTGAGTTAAGACCATCATGGATACCTTGCACGAAGCACGCAGTAGACACTGCTAGGGTTTTTATTATAGTACCTCTTTCACACATGATGATTTTTGTTGGTGTTTTTGTTAATGACAGAAAAGGAAAAAAAAATAATAGATTCTGGGACAGTTCCAAGGAAAGCTATTTGTTACTACAATTTTAATCATTCAGTTTCTCAATTAATGTTGTAATTCCTGAGGCTCACTTCTGGAACTTCCTCCCAAAGCAGACAGCTCCTCTGAAAACAGATACTCTCCTTCTCTCGGTTTTGGGTGGATTTCTGTAGTTTGCATGACTCTCTTCTGTATCAACAAATCAGTTGTACAGAATCCAGGGTCACCACAGGTAAGTAGGCTGAAACAGATAATAATGTGAAGGAATCAGTAAAATCAGTGATAAAGGAAGATTACTTTCCTGTTTTCTAGCTCTTCCTTTTCGTTTTTCTTTTCTGCTTATTAAAGTCTTTTAAGACTGCTGCTTTAGCCTTGATAATGTCCATTAGTGCAATACCCATTGAAAGTAACCATTAGAACATCAAAATAATAGAGAAGGTACTGTAAGACAACAGTCATTGAAAATTGGTTTCCTTTTCTTTCTAAAAATAAAAAAGTTTATAATATACACAAACTTCAACCACTCTCATGGAAATCATTCATGGATATTCACATAGAAGTTTTGGACAAGAAAGAGGGCATTGGTAGAGTCAGTTTTCACTGCATCTCTAGCTAATAAAAACAGAAAAATCAAAGTAAAATAGAATTATAGAAGTAATATCTATCACTTTGTATTTTTACTGGGTGCTAAGAATGATTCTGAGTGATTTATATTTACTAACTTTAAAAATTTTGTATGTAATATATATTCCATTTTATAAGTAAGGAAACAGACATGGCAAGGTTGAGTACTTGCCCAAGAATACACAGTGGAATATATGTAAGACTACAGAGCTAGGTTAGATATCTGTCCCTGGGCTAAATAAATACAGTTTGAAAATAATTATTTGGTTATGTGCAAACATGGAAAAGAATATCATTTCCTGCTATATCAAATGAGAATTAAGAATATGAGCTAGGACATGAGCTATTTAATACAGACTTGCAAGGACTCATGTGTGGTGCAAATTTAATTCAACATGTAAAATATGACCAAGTCAAGGTCACCAGAAAAAGACTGAATGCAGCCAGGCTCACCTACCCCACGCCCCTCCACCATCACTGGTGCACTAAATCTAGTAGTGTCTCATATCTGTGACAGGTCTTGCACTTGACTTCTTATTTTGCACTATGAGCTCTTTAAGAGAAGGAGCCATGAGCATCTTTCATACATTTTTCATCATTAAATTATGAGCTCCTTTAGATCAAAGAATATGCCTAGTCATCTTTCGCCTTCCCTTTCCACCGAATCCAGGCCTAGCAAAGTGTCTGAGTGGGGCATATGAAGCCGTCAGAAAATGGCAGATAAAATGTTGAATGCCTTTTATAGATTTGAAAATGTGAAAGATACATTGAAAACAATTTTCTGCTAAATCAAGGAGCATGGGAGGCACACGTGGAGAAACAACACTGAATTTTCTTCACCAAGATCTTCTGTCTACCCTGACTTACACTTCTGATTACAGTGAGCATAGTGGCTGTAAAAGTGGTCACAGTATATAAATATTTAGAGAAAACATGGAGAAAAATAAGTTGGAATGTGATTAATAGAGTTAACTATCTAATTATATAATAATGGAGCATTATGTTAAAAGTACTTCATTAAAAAAGGAAAAATTACCTATAATTAAATTTTAAATTTGATTGAAGAATGTTGAATTCATTACTGCATTGAGGATCTCCCAGGATCATTTCCTTCTTCTATTAATTCTGTTTCTTTGAGGTTAAGCCTCAAACTAAAAACAAAATCTGTAAACATTTTTTAAATTTTAACATAAATTTGTATTTTAAAATAAGCCTTAACCAAAGGCAGAGACAGCTACCTAAAAAAATTACGATGTTAGAGGATAAAAAATGTGTTCATTGCTATGCAGTGCTAAGGCTAAGAGCTGAGTGACCTCAGTAGGCACAGCTCTATTTGTTATCATCTCCCTTTAAAATGGGGAAGTATGGGAATAAATGCCAAATACCATACTTGAGAGAGTAGAGATACTCCAGCAACCCCTGAGAAAATTGAAGAGCATGAAAAAAGGATAGCCCTTATCCTTGAGTGAATACTCATTTGTAGTAACTCTGTAAACCTAGATGAGATGTACTATGCAGTTGAACCTCTGGATTATTTACTAATATCCAGATTTCTCACTAAACTGCTTCATTATAGCCTATTGAGAATTGGTGAATAAGTAAACATTGCATCCACAGTTATATTGGTGGAGGCACCCATCACCACCAAGGGGGAAGAACAGGAGTCAAAAGAGCTACACGTCATTCCCAACTCTCCTGTGATTGGCTTGGCCAATGTGCCACCTCTTCACTGGCACTTCGTCTACAACAAGGAGGCTAGTTTTACTTCAGTGTTCATTTCACAGGGTTGCTGTGGCTGCCAAATGAGTCACGTGTATGACACTCTATCTTAGGAACCATAAGGTATTATCCAAGCACCAGTTAACAGATCAACAAAGCCTAAATGATAGCTGCGTTGTCCTGGACACCAGGATTCCAGCTACCTGATGTGGATCCCTTCCAAATGCTTAAGACACGAGGTACATGTAATGTTTTTCATAATTCCAATTGCCATCAAGAATTATCGATGACTTAGAGAGAACATTGATTTTTTTCTGGTGGTGTTTACATGCATTCTTTCTGCAGCCATTAGTGGTCCTCATAGAATTGATAGCTTTTTGAACCGTGACAATGAGATTATCGATTCCTGAAAGGGCCCTAATCTAGGAAAACTTTTTAAATGTTTGCTATTGGCTTTTATTAACATATAATGTAGCAACAAGATTGAAAAATTCAAGTATTGTGTGATTGCCTGGAAATCTCAAAGTAAAAATCAATGTAGTTAATCTATTTAATAAATCATGAAACACATACGCACATGCGCACGTGCAGACACACACATACCCCCACACAGGGAAAGTCTGCTAAGATTCATTATTAAGAAGGTAATTTTGTGTGAACAATTTGCTTTGCCAGCTAGCTTTCCAGCTAATTTCTTGCCCTTGTGTGCCCAGCCATCTTAGATGGAATCTAACATGCCAACCTTTATTGGACTCCATTACGGCCTCTCCATGCCCATTTCTGACCACAATTCCCCTGCCTGGTCACATAAAGGCTCCAAATCCCCCAATCTCTTTGTTCTATATCCTCTTTTTATAATAAGCCAGCAGATTGAAATACACTCTTAATTGGGTCTTCATAATTCAGCATGAAGTATGCATTCTACCATCAGGCAAGAGATAGAAGCTGTGATATCTTCACAAACACCAGCTTAGTGATGGCTTGTAATATCCAGGGCACTGGGCATGGAAAAGTCAGATACAATAATTTAGAAAACCAAGATAATTAACATTTAAATGTCCAAAGTGATAGTGAATCAGACACAAAGTGCTACAGGGCACAGCTTGCTTAACCACAAAATTAACAACCAAAAGAGTGACCCACAGGTATCTCACGCCCTCCAGCAAACACTTTTAATTACCAGAAGCTAGTCCGCCTTTTTTTCTTCAGATTTAAAGAGAGTGAACAATGTACCCTTAAATAGTAATATATTGTTTTTTTTTTTTAAAAAAAAAGATATAGGCAAGAGAAATTAAAACGTAGCACAGACAATAATCTATTTGCAGTGAGGAAAATCTCCCAAGTAATAATTTTGGAATTCCTACTAAGTTATCTAAAGAAGGAGAAAAATTCAATTCTATTTCTCTTTAAAAGTCTATTATTTTTAGTCCTATGGAAAACAATGAAATATACTATTAAGGCAGATAAATCTGGGTGTCCCTTGGTGATAATAGAGCCACAGGGGGGAAAAAAAACAGGGCAAGAAAATGGGATCATTTTTCTATCCAAATTTCAAAATGGGTGGCTAAAGGGTAAGCAGTGATTATAATGCTCTGATTTTTCAGAAAAGCCTATTGAGGCAATCTTCAAAGTCGTAGGGAGTTAATCTGAGCTTTGGGCATATCATTAATAAGAAGATAAGAAGGTATCCACCAAGCAGCTTTATCTATTTATCAGGCAAGGCAATGTCTCTGGAGGCTTTACTAATACATGCACACTCCCATAGAACATATAATTTGGAATATTAGCAATCTGGTGAAGGAGTGATTAAAGGCTGCAGTCTCCAGAGTATACAGGTGTTGTCCAACTTGGCCTAGAGAGTGCTAAGGCAAATACAACATTGCCCTTGTAGGAGACCATCTTTCCCCTACCCTGATACACATATACACAAATACACACACATGCCCCATACACACAGACACACTCTATATACAGTACACGCGATACTTACTGTGAAGAGGAAGAAGAGGCATGGGTTTTGCAGGTAGGTTCAAATGCTAGGTTTTGTGCATGGACACATTATTATTATTATTATTATACTTTAAGTTCTGGGATACATGTGTAGAACATGCAGGTTTGTTACATAGGTATACACGTGCCATGGTTATTGGCTGCACCCATCAACCCGTCATCTACATTAGGTATTTCTCTTAATGCTATCCGTCCCCTAGCCCCTCACCCCCGACAGTCCCCAGTGTGTGATGTTCCCCTCCCTGATGGACATATTTTTTAGTCCTCCCCTATCAAGCATCCCACCGCCACCATTCCTGTAGAACACAGGAAGTTGTAAAGCCATCTGCGGCCTACCCTTGGTGCTATCTTTGCACAAGTATCTATCAGCCACAGATTAGCTGAAGGTAAAGTTTAACCTTCCTTGTAGTTAGAATGGAGGCTTAATTGGGTATGTGGGGCATAGCCTAGACTACACACACGTTAGAAAGGATGACGGCTTTCTGAGATGAAGTGAGATCCTAGTGAATGATAAAGTCCCTGAGAAGACCTTCGCCCTTGCACCCAGGTTCTTTCCTTCTGTTTCCCCCAAATGCCTGAAATTCGATCATTAAAATAGCTTTCTTTGAGTGGTACATTGTGCAACAAGAGGAACAATAAGGCATATTCTTAACAAGCTACCAAGTTACTCTATGAAAAAAATTTCTGTTTACAGAGGCAACAAAGACCAGGATGAGTTCAGTCAGAGCTGTGACCTGAAGGGTTCCTTATCTGCCACAAACTAGAATTAATTTTGTAATAAAAATTATTATGAACACATTGTGTAGTAATTTTCAAAGTGTTCCTTGCTTTTCTTATCATACTTAATCCTCACAGCACCTTATAGGTATGGTTTTACTTATTTTGCAGGTAAAGCAAGTAAAACTCAAAGTGTAGGGGATTTGCTTTAAATAACTCAGCTTATTGATGACAAAGCCAAAAATGAGACTCAGATATTTTGATTCTTAATCTAATGTTATTCTCAGTAATCCCAGAAATGATGATTAGGAGACTTACATTCTAGTTCTGGATCTGATTCTAGATCACTCCCTGGCTTTGGACTAATCACTTACCCAGTCTATGATTCTTTCCATCTTGAACAAGAATAGTCTGAAGTAGACGATTACCTCATTTGATTTTTCTTTCAAATTTGCATTTAGGAACATATATCATACCCAGAAACTGAAATCAATCCTTTCACACTCTGATTTATCTGAAGGCAGTGGGTATGTTGTAACAGGAATCAAAGACTAAAATTCAGGAGATGCAATTTCTAGGGGAGGATGTCAGGTACTTGCAGCTCATCAGGGATTAATAATTAGTGAATATTACATTTTAAATTACCCTGGAAATTTGGAAATCATATGAGCAATTTATTTTGGGGAGGCAATACACAATGTAAACATTTTATTTATATACTGAGTTACTAATTATAAGAATTTGAGCAAGACATTTAAAATCATATATTACTGTAAGAGACGCACAGTGAGTGAGATTCAACAATGAAAGTAATGAATAAGATCCGTGGTACAGGTATGCATAAAGTGCTTTGAGATTTCTCTGTAAGGACTTGCCAGAAATTTTAGAAAAAGAGCTAATGCTTGAATTAGATATAAAATTATCAGAAGTATTTTCAAATTAGATGTAGATGTGGAACTGGGAACCTCTAGGTAGAAGAAATAGCATATACCAATGCATGGAAAATACGTATAGCCATAGCTTAGAGCAAAGACTTAAAAACCTCAAAAGGTGATTCTAGAAAAGCGTGTTAGGATTTGGTTGTAAGATATTTTCTTGCTATGCAAGAGAGTTTTGTAGTTATCCTATAGGCAACAGGGAGCTAGTAGGGCTTAAAATAACACGCATTTTACTTAAAAGCAAATAAGCTTTCCATAGAGTTCATTCTTTTGTCAACATGTCTGCAGTTTCTCAAGTCTAGGTCATGTCATCTTCTGGAAACAGAGACAGATAATTTAACACAATGAACACTGTCAGTCGTCTCAACCATCCGGGCCTGAATAATCGAAGAATGCAAGGATTCACATATATGACTTTGAGCCCAACTGCTGAATTTCCCTCGACAGTTATTTTGTCAATAAGAAAATAGTGCAAATATGACCAATGAGAGGGAAAATAATCAGTAACACAATTAAGGAGATAATTTTTAGGAAATGAAGGAAATGCCAAACATGAAAGTGTTGAAAAAATTTTAGGAATTAGGGATTCTCAAGGATTGGTTTTACTGACTTATTGTCAATTTGTAATACTCTAAATAATAGACAAAATCAAATCTACAACACAGAGTAGAAATCGTTTGGTGACTCAGTGCCTTCGGTATCAGAGATTTAAAGTCCTTGGAATTTTATTTTTAGAAGACTGAAGACCAGGCAGCCTCAGAAATGGCCAATTATAAATGGAAGAGTGTAGAATTGAATCATTCTCCAGGAAAAAGAATTTGATCTCTCTAGAGTCAGGCAATTCTCTATTGAGTCACCCCTTGCATCAGAGGCTCTATAAACAGCTCTGGAACTTTCTTCATGCAGTGGCCATTGGCTCCTGCTAAAAGAGTCCTCCACTCCCTCTGGATCCATAGAGGAATGACTAAATGAGTCATTTTAATTTTAAAATGAGTGCCAATATTTCAGCTTGAAGTCATAACCATGTGTAAAGTATGGGGGGGCAGAATTCTATTATTCTATTGATTTCTTACATCCTTCCTGAGGCTTAGCAATTTAAGAATTTTCAATTGTCTTGTAAGGTCATACTCCTGGAGGGTGCAAAAGACACCAGGGAATCCATGAATGGTGCAAGGATCTAGAGCAGGCAAGGACCATGAAGGTGGGAAGATGCAGGAGGGTTGGGAATCACTCACACTTCAGCACTACCATATGCTCCCCTTTCTAGATGAAGAATGAATCATAAAAAACAGTGTGACTGACCCAGGTTCTCTCTCTAACTGCAGCTAGTCTCTTGCCAATTCTTCCCATGCTAATTTCTTGAAAGGTCTTCTACCCTCTTTCCAGTTTCCCCTCCTTCCACTCACTGCTCAGTGTACCTTGCAAGGTTACAGATGATCTTCATATTGCTAAAGCCAATAAACTTTTAACATTCCTTATCTTACTGGACCTTCTTGTACCACTTGATATTATGCCTTCCTCTTTTTGATTTATGATAATCATAATAATAGAATTATAGCTAATATTATAATTAAATATTTACCAGGAAGTATGCTACTAAATATGCATTAACACTCCTCTTTTTGTTCAGAAATGCAAATTTGTCAAATTTCTTGGTCAACAGGCTAGGGCACGTATATTCTATGGTGGGAGTTCAGTGAAGAGTCCATATGGGGCTTTGTATACCTGGGGACCCCCTCAGTTTCCCAGAGATCCTGTTAAAGAGTACTGAGATGGTTTGTCTGTGTCCCCACCCAGATGTCATCTTGAACTGTAGCTCCCATAACCCCAGTGTGTGGTGGGAGGAAACCAGTGAGAGGTAATTGAATCATGGGGGCAGGTCTTTCCCGTGCTGTTCTCATGACAGTGAATAAAAGTCTCATGAGATCTGATGGTTTTATAAAGGGCAGTTGTTCCCCTGCACACATTCTCTTGCCTGTTGCCATGTAAGACACGCCTTGACTCCTTCACCTTCTGCCATGATTGTGAGGCCTTGCCAGCCATGTGGAACTGTGAGTCTATGAAACCTCCTTTTCTTTATAAATTACTCAGTCTCAGGTATTTCTTCATAGCGAACGGATTTCAAGTTAGACTAACACAGGTACCACTGATCCCACACCCTGCCTGCTGATACTGAGGCTCTGATCTTACTCCTTGCAGGATGGCATTGGGTAGATGGAAGAGACCCCCAGTAAAGTCCTTGGAGAAATAGGGACTAACTTATCAGGCAATAAAGGACACAGGAATGCTGTGAAACACCCATGGCCTCAGACTTATGTGGTATCTGCCTGTCTTCCTCCCCCATTCTGCTTCTCTGTTTGATGATCTTTGCTCTGAGTTCCTGTGACTACACAAAGAACAGGGGAAGCTAAGACCATAATGGCAACAGTTTCCATGAAACTTCACTTGCATTCCAGGGAGCGAGTGCCATACAGATAGTCCCAGGGTGAATCGACAGGGCATAAAGAAAACAGAAATGGATCATGTTTGTTGATGTTGAGTGGCCACCAACAGAAAAGAATGTATTAATTGATACAGCATAACAAATGACTATGTTCTTTGGTCTGGTACAGACACACAGCCAGAGCCCCAAACCTAGGAGACCATCGTGAAACCACATACAGTTCCCCACATGCTCTGGGGCATCCCTGTGTCATTAAGGTGGTTTCTTTGTAGTTTTTATTAGCATGGATAATAACTCACTCATGTGTTTCTTATATCCTTTATGCAATCTGTTTCATGTTTTCTCTGACTTGGTCTCTAAAGGTATTTAGTGAAAATATCTTCAAGTCCAACCGAAATAGAATTTCATCAGATTTATTTCTATTTATTTAAGGATATTAGTTATCCAGAATAGTAATATATTCCCTCTCTACATTCATGTATCAATATGACCATATTATTTTTTCTTCAATTTTTTATTTATAGCAGAAAAACAATGAGTTCAAGAAAACTAACTTTGCTGAAAGTACCATAAGTCTTTCTTTCTCCTGGCTCTTGAAATGTCTATTTTCCAAGATTACCCTTTGAGGAGTCTACATCCTGCTCAGTACAAGTGTGGTGCAATAAGCTAAGGTCTCAAAATGGTCAACATGGATAAATAAGCACTTTCTTGTTTGATCATCTCTAGTGTGTTATGCCTGGATCTATAAATTTCACGTGGTTTATCTCATTGAATCTTCACACTATGTGAGGTTAATATTATCACGCCTATTTTATAAATAAGAAAACTGAGCTCAGAGAAATTAAAATTTCTAAGACCATGCAGATTATAAGAGGTAGAATCAGGGTTTACACTCATGTATATTTTACTCTGAAGCTTTTGTCCTTTATTCTGTATGAGGCTGTCTCTGCCTTCCTATCTATCTCCATTGCTGATATATGAGTTTAGGACCTCATGGTTCAGCTGGAGGGCAGGGGGATGGATGCTTCGTGAATTAGGCACAAACAAAAAGATAATTATTAGCTGGGCAGAACACCCCATGTGGTATTCTGCATGGTAAAATAATCCAAGTGAGTAGTAGTACTGAGAAACACGGGAGGGCTTTGGGAAGTGGGTGGGCAAGGAGTTAGTTAGGAGGGTTGAACAGAACCTATTGAACCTAGCTGTTTCCTTTGTGATCAGTATATGATTATTAAATGAGTTAATAAAAGAATGATTACAGAGAGATACCTGATCATGATCATTGGGTATTTACCAAATTCTTGAGCTTTGTAAAAAACATTGCAGGCTTACCCTCAAATCTGAATGAAAAATATGACAATGGTGTTAAAAAAAAGTAGCCCTAGGATTATCATTTGCACTAGTTCTTAAACTTGGCTGCCTTTTGGAATTATCTAGGCTGTTTCAAACAGATTTTCAGACCAGGCCTTAATCTATTCCAATTATATAGAAATCTCTGGTGGGACCCAAACACCAGTAATTTTTAAAGTAATCTAGGTGATTCCAATATGGAACCAACTTTGAGATTGTAATAGATGTCTGTCTTTCACCATAGCGCATGGTATGGAGTGTCCTGTGGTAAGGGCTATAACCTCATATTGGATAGAGACTTGTTTGGGGATCTGAAAACTAAAGAATTTGGACAAAGTTGACTTTTACCAAAGTATGTGAAATCCTAGTTCTATGACATAGTAGTAAGAATTAAATATAGAAAAAAATAGGGCCCAGCCGGGCACAATGGCTCATGCCTATAATCCCAGCACTTTGGAAGGCCAAGTTGGGAGAATCATTTGAGGTCAGGAGTTTGAGACCAGCCTGGCCAACATTGTTGAATGCTGTCCCTACTAAAAATACAAAAATTAGCTGGGCGTGGTGGCACACACCTGTAATCCCAGTTACTTGGGAGGCTGAGGCATGAGAATCACTTGATCCTGGAAGGTGGAGGTTGCAGCGAGCCAAGATCATGACACTGCACTCCAGCCTGAGCAACAGAGTGAGACTCTGCAAAAAAAAAGAAAAGAAAAAAAACAGGGCTTATTTTCAAATACATTTGGAAAATACTGGGTTAACCACACAGGTGTCCTTTTTTTTTTTTTCCTATTGCTATTTTGTTATTGTTTTTAACTTAGACCATTTCAGAGCCTTTAAAATTCGTACATGCACTGTAACTATCAAAAAGAGAGTCTAGTATGTATAGCTTTCTAAATGCATTCACTATATGTATTTGAACTAGTGTTTCGTGAATAACAACAAAAAGATTAATAAAACCAATCACAGCTTATTGAGGTCTAGGTAGTCTATGAGTTACTTTAAATATATTACATTGTTTAGTTTGAGCCACAGAACAATAGTATGATTATATCTTACCATACCTATTTTATGGATGAAGAAATTGATGTTTTAGTGGTTCAGTAATTTGCTCAAGTTTACACAATAATTGACAAAGCTGGAATTCAAATTAGATATTATAATTCTTGGTCCTATAACATTTCTTTGTATTAAAAGTGTCTATAAATATTTTCTGTAAAGTCCTCCGCACAATAGATTTGGCCTAACAAGCAATTATTATACTCTAGCAATACTGACCATTTTCAAGTAATTTCCATTCTTTTAGGCACTGCAATGTTGGAGTGAAATTTTCCCATGAAAAACTCTCTGGATTGTGCTTATTGGACTAAATATACTTTATGTGCATTGCAGAATAATTGCCCACAATCACCTTGAGCCCAGTTTTCACGCCCCTAAGGAACCCACCACTCCTACCCATGCCTCACATGGCTTACATCCCTTCTCCTGCCTCTCAGAGCTCTTAAGTTCTTAGGTGATGTCTTCAAACAAACAAGCTCTTGTGGCACTGACTTTTTTTCAATGATTGACTGTGCAGGGTACCATGGGAATATGCATGAAAGCTTAATTATATTTCCTGCCTCGCTGAGTGAATGTTGGATAGAAAGATGGCTCTGCTCCGCCTGTAGTGTAAAACATCACAGAGATCAGATCGGTTCCCCAGTATTTGCACATGGCTGATAATCAGCTCTCCACATAAACAGGCAGACAGATGAAGTCAGTTATCTGAAAAGGTGTCCATGTCCTGTTAGCATCTGTAGCTGTCTTGACTTTACACTCTCATTGCAAACTCAACAGCAGGCTGAGCAAGCCAGAGCCTCTCCAGATCAGGACAAGTCAGTGGTGTCACCTGGAAATAGTCAATACAACACTTCATTATTCTGGAATCACAAGAGAATCAATTCCCACCATGAGCATCTTTGTCAGATAACTTATGCTTTTAAGTACCCGAGCATTAAGCACATTCATATTTTTCAGATCAAAAACCTCAATATGCACAAAATGCTTTCCTGATGCAGCACTTGTTTACTGAGCACTAACTAACTGTGTTCCAATGACAACTACCGAAGACAAAAATAAAGATTAAAAAAATAGATGTTACGTGAACACTCAAGAGTATTTCCTTTGGATAAAGCACAGATGTTAATTCACAGACGTCAGTGTTACAACCATTCCGACTGTTCCAAAGAGCTTTGTCTTTTCTCTCTGATTCTTGGCTCTGGTGCTGATAGGTTAGGCTGTTGGAGAAGTGACCCCAAGATAGAAGAGTTGTTTTTGTAAATACACTGCCATGATCATTCCTTAGGAGCCAACCATATGCATAGCACACTTTAGTCACTGGTAATCCTACATTAAATGAAACAAAATGCCTTTCCTTTTAGCAGGAGAGACACAGCTAATCAAATCCTAGATAAAGCTTATGCAGAGGGCAGTGGGAACATCAGAACTACATCTACATTCAAATAGTCATATGTTTATTCAATTTCCAGGTATTCTGCAGGGGCAGAATGGTACACTGCAAGTGGAATCAAATTAAGAGAGGTCCACAGAACCCTCTGATATGCTCCTACTTCAATTAGTGAAACTTCTTCTATCTCAGAAGGAACTGACATCATTTCTATTCAGTTGTATGTTCACCAGCCTCCTTAATGCAGCGCCAGGGATTAAATGTTTCCCAATAGACAATGCAGGTGTCACTTCTGAGAAACGTGCACACTCTGTTAACACTAAAGGTGGCAGCCAATTCTGGAACTATAATTGGAGCTATTTTTCTCCATTCCAGTTGCACGATTTCTCTTTCTCTTCAGTGATTTTCCTAACTTTATAAGTGAATACAAAGGCTCAGCTTCATGCTGCAGCAATGATATTTGCTTAATCCATTTAGCCATCTGTAAAGCAGGGGTAATACACTCTATCAATCAGCTCATCAGTTATGTGTGTCTTTGTGTGAGTGCACCAGCATAATGCAGATATTACATCCAATGAAGCCCACCCGAAAGCATATTTGTGTTTACTTAAAGATTTAAATAATACAGGGCAAAAGTGTGGCTTTTGAGTCTAGTCTAACTCTCAAAGCTAGATAGTCTCATTGCCCGTTTTGCACATAACTGTGGTCATTGGTCTTTAATTTTTATTCTAGCTTTATGATGACATATGCTTAATCCCAGCACTTTGGGAGGCCGAAGCAGGTGGATCACCTGAGGTCAGGAGTTTGAGACCAGCCTGACCAAAATGGAGAAATCCCATCTCTACTAAAAATACAAAATTAGCTGGGGGTGGTGGTGCATTCCTGTAATCCCAGTTACTCGGGAGGCTGAGGCAGGAGAATCACTTGAACCCAGTAATTCCGTGGGCCGTGAGCTGAGATCACGCCATTGCACTCCAGTCCAGGCAACAAGAGTGAAACTCCATCTCGAAAGAAAGAAAAGTGTTATACTATATGCAATTCTAGAATTTGCTTTAGCCAAATTCAAATTCTGTGTAGTGTTAACTCATTTGTTTTTCAGTAAGTTCTTTATTAACAGCCAAATCCCTTGATTATGGCACTTCTGTGAACTTCCTTGATAATCTTACTTACAAGTCACATAATGCCTGAACACATTTCTCTGAAATGTTGTTGAGATAAAAGAGTTGACCGTGACGGTAATTAACTTCTAAATAAATATTAAAATGAGAGGGCATTGTAAATACCCCCAGTGCAACGGTTACATGACTGAGTTTTTAGGACGTTAGGCAGCCAGTCTGTCACCATCTGAGCTGAGGGTAGCTCTGCCACTGATTTTGGAAGATGTTCCTTTATACTATTTAGCCTATTTAGCCTCTTCTTTTAGTTCTCGGTTTTAGCTAAAACACATATTTTATAGCTTGCCTCTCACACATTTGGCCACTTCCCCATATGCTCTCCTGTCCAATTCTCCACAGCTTACATGCATATCTAAATTCTCCCTAGGTAGGGACTAAATTGAATGCTTTCCTTTTCCCACCTCCCACCCCATCGTGGTGGATCCTTGCACACAGCCGGCTGAAAATCCAATTGGTGCTCCACATGTCTGTGTTGAATTGAGGTTCATTTGCTCACAAGATATTCATCTCAAATCTGTCAAACAAAAACTGTGAAAGTGCCGTGTGATTGGCTGAGGCTGTCTGTGCCATAGGAAAGCAGAAATCACACCAGCACAAGTGCCAAGTCTGGCAACCGACTGACGACAGGGTTGAAATACTAGCTCCGACACAGATTAGAAGTAACTTTGGACAGGTTACTTAAAATCCCTAAGCCTTAATTTCCTCACATGTGACATGTGGAGCACACAGCACTTTTGTGACAGAGACATTGCAATTATTAAATGGCATAACACAAGTAAAGTGCTTCACCTAGGGCTTAGCAAGTGGTCAACCATTGGCAGCTATTACAAATTTTATTAGGAGTTCAGATGAAACATCTCTGAGTTATGGTGCTTTGGGGAAGATTCCTGCAAATGGCAAATAGGGAGCAGCGTCAGGAACCAAGATGTACCTGCATATTTTGACGTTTTAAAAATGGTAACAGCAGTAAAAGTGATGTGGCTGGAGCTGGATTCTCAAGGGAATCTTGTCTTTAGCTCTGGGGGTAATGAACTGCTGTTTCTCTCTGCCCCTCCCCATAACCTGCACCCATCTCTTGGAGGACAGGTGCAGCAGTGGATGACCAGCACTGCACCCTGCCTGTTGTTACTTTTGTTACCCCTGTGTCAGTGGGTGGCTCAAGAATCCTAAAACCCTGTTGGAAGAGGAAGTCAACTCAAAAACTTTCTGAACTGGGCAAGTACAAGAAACATGAGCATACATGAGGTCAAAATGCAGAGTAAAGGCAACTAAAATATAAAAAGATGAGATCCAGGAGTAACAAGGCAGATGGAGTGAAAACTTCCTGGATGCATTGTGGAAATGACGGCATGCAATGACAGTTTGATGCTGCCTTGTTCCTAGGTATGGGTGGTGGGGGATAGATCAAGAGTATGTAAAAGGGTAGACCTTAGTCTGCACCTTTGAACCTCTCTGACCTCACAGGTCAGGCAATTTAAGAGTAATCTGCTTGTGAAACTTTAATCAGCTTAAATGGTGTGTGTGTGTGGTTTATTTGAACATTGTGATGCTGAATATCAGACAAATAGAATTGGCAAGAGGTCACAGGGCCTCCTCTGTCTTGTTGAATAATTGCTTAATTAAGCCAAAGTAGGATATGCTGGAACAAATAAACACGTAGATATTTCACTGGGCATTCACTGGGCAATGTAGCATGCAGAGGAAGGGGAACACTGTGGCGGAGAGACCTCCGTGCTGTCTGAGAGGTTGTCCCAGCTTTAGTTCTGGCACTGTCATTCATCACTGTGCAGTACAGAGCAGTGGCTCTCAAAGGGTGGTTCTGAACCAGCAGCATTAGCATCACTGGAAATTGTGTTAGAAATACTAATTAAAAAAAAAAAAACAAAACAAAAAACCCTAAACCTCCCAATTAAGCATGCTGGGGTGGGGCCCGGAAAAATGTTTGAACAAATAAATTCTCCATGTGATTCTGATGCTCACTGAAGTTTGAGAACCACACTAAAGTGTTGAGAATTGAGGAGTCTGCACTCATGTTCTTTGTATTTGCACTGCATATACAGGTCATTGCGTGTTCTATCAATGTGAAATCAAAGAGCTCCTTAGAGTCAGAATTTTGCAGCCACAAATAGACACATCTTTTGTTATCTATTCCCTGGCTTTTGATGTCCCTCCACTATAGCTAGAGCTTAAAAAAAAAAAAAAAAAGTGACTTGTTACCAGGGCTCTGAATGGGTTCTGTGGGAAACATTCTCAGGTTTTGTAGAGCACCTTGTGCCTTTCCTTAGAGAGAACAATGATGCCAATTTTGGGGGTTGCTGTGATTAGCTAGAGGCAGCGGCTGCCAGTTATAAGACTGAGCGGCTTTCTTAGCTCTCTGAAAAGTAGGAGAAATTATCAAGGAGCTATTTTCAAAGCTCATCATAAAAATTCAGCCAATGGTTGCTACTTCTCCATCTAAGTCACACATTTATATTCTAGTCATTGGGTCTTGGATTAATCCAGATTGTAGGCTAAGGACTGTAAATATCCTCTGCAGTGAAATGTGTCTGTTGGGTCATGGAGGACCCAACTTTTTTCAGAAGGAAGTCAGACTGCACATTTAATACTACAGCTTTCTTCTGTCTCTGCCTGGGATTTATTTCTCATCCATTTTCCAATCTTGTTTCTCTAAATTCAAATAGTTTCTCAGTTCAAACCTACAATTGTTATGTGCAATCATTTATAATTTTTCATTTTTCTGTCTCTTATGCCATAGACACCCCACCCCTATTTTCCTTTCTGCCATTTCATTTAATCTTCTTTATAATTTATTTTGGAAATGTGCTCTTTGTGATAACTTTATATGGGATGTCATTTCTGTGATGATAGTAGGCCAATAATTCAGAAAATATTATTTCTGCACCTCTTTGCCTACCCCCAGGAACTGCTTGTAAATAATGTTGATTAATTTGCAATCAGCACTTTTTAAAGCAGCATTCCATCTACAGCATAAAAATGCAATTTTAGATCTTATTGCACTGACACCCATTCTCAAAGAATAAAATGTACTTAAAACTAAATGATGGAGGTGCCTTTTCAATGATGTAGAAGTTTTATTTTCAGGTCCTCTATAATTTTTTTTTATGGTCTGCTCACTTCATCCTTCAATAGCTCCAAATAACCTTGTGCAATATATATGGTAAACTAGTCCATTGAATTCTATACAAATAATTAAAACTTATCCATTCTTCAAGCTCTTATGTAGCACGGACTGAAAGATTAAGAGTTGCAGGATCAAGAGTCCTGGACAAGAAATAAGGGATTAAGGGTCTTTCCTGTCTCCTTCTCTTTCTTTTCCCTTCCTTTTTTATTTTTTTGAGATGTAGTCTTGCTCTGTCTCCAGGCTGGAGTGCAGAGGTGTGATCTCGGCTCACTGCAACCTCTGCCTCCTGGATTCGAGTGATTCTCCTGCCTCAGTCTCCTGAGTAGCTGGGACTACAGGCGCGCACCACCATGCCCAGCTAAATTTTTGTATTTTTCATAGAGATGGGGTATCACCATGTTGGCCAGGATGGTCTCGATCTCTTGACCTCGTGATCCGCCCACCTCAGCCTCCCAAAGTGCTGGGATTACAGGTGTGAGCCACCGTGCCCAGCCTCCTCCCTTTCTTTATCTCTTTCTGTATAACTCTTTGTTTCCTCTCTTTGTACTTTCGTAGAAACCAGTGTTATTTATTTATTTTTATTGTATATATTTGAGTTATGCAACATGATGTTTCGGTATACATATGCATAGTGAAATTGAAATGATTACAACATTCAAGAAAATTAACAATCCATTTATTCATGTAATTGCTTTTTTCTCTTTTCTTTCTTTTTTGTGTGGTAAAAACCCTTGAAACCTACTCTCTCAACAAATTTCCAGCACACAGTACAATATTGTTAACTATAGTCCTCACACTGTGTATTAATTAGATCTCTGGATTTATCCATCCTACATATGAGAGGACTTCAAAACGTTCCTGAATAAAGGGAATTAAAAGATAAAAATAAAAACACAAACTTTATTTCTCATCATGAGCTCCATCAAGTTCAATTCACTTTTGGAAGCAATGATACCAGCCATTTGGCCCATCAATAAGGAACTGAGGGTCCTGGCAATTTAACCCTGTAATTGCAGTCTTTTTTACATTATTAACTGAAGAAAAATGAGTGCCTTGTAAAGAACTTCCACATTCTTACTTATTTAAGTTTAAATATTACTTTCCATGAGAAGCATTCTTGAATTACCACCCCCCCTCCCCTTCCTCTGGATGACCATTGCTATGTGCCTTTATAGTGTGCTGTGTTTCCCATTAGATTTCTCAGTACTCGTTATAATTACTTATTTAAACATCCTTCTCAGGGACTGTATGCTCCATGAAGTAGAGATAAAGTCTATCTTGCTCATCATTGCTTCTGCAGAGCCTAATACACTCCCAAATAAACATTTATTGCATAAATGGATTGTTGTAATTATTCAAATGTGAGACATGATGTTTTCCTTCAAGAAGTTTAAGGTAATCAAACCTTGACAAATCACTACGACATTAGGAAATATATAATAGGTGACTAGTAATAATAAAGGTAATTATAATAGGGTGATAACATTTGTATAGTGCTTATTCTATTCCAGGTGCTGTATTAAGCCCTTATTATGTAAGCTCGCTTCATTTGTACAACAGCTCCTTAATGCTCCTAATGTGATCATAGTATTATTTTCATCCTCATGTAACACGAAGAGGGGCTGTGTGACTTGCCCATAGCCACTCACCTGGTACATGAGGTTTCACATTCAAACTCCAAGTTGTTTGCATTTGGAGTTCATGTTCTTAACCTCTAGATTATACTGATGCCTTCAGTAAATGATCACTATACATTTATTGCAGGAAGGAGGTGATGAAGAGAGAAAGAAAGGATGGAAGGAAGGAGGAAGTGGACAATGAGGTAAATAAAAATGGATGGGTTAAATTTGGGCATATGGAGTAAGAGACCGTTTATTGCTGTGGAGAAATTGACATGCACAAGGGGGAAGAGGTAAGGGATCCTTAGTAATGGTGAATGAACAATTATCTCATTGCAGCCCAGAGCCCTCACCTGAGTTCCAAACATTTAAGTCAAACTGCCAACTTCATTCTCCATTTGGACGATTTCTCAACATGTACAAAACCAAGTCCTGATTTTTCCGTGACCCCAAATCTGTTCTATCTGAAGCCTCCCTATCTCAGTTACTGGTAAGTTCATTCTTCCAGTTATTCAGAAAATTAACTTGGGAATCGTCTTTAACACTTCCCCTTCTCTCATAACCCATATCCTATTTAACAGGAAAACATTCTTGGCTTTTCCATCAATATATACCTTTAGTCCTACCACTTCTGACTCCCCAGTGATACCTCCCTGATCTGAATAGAGGGTCGAGTTTTCAAGGTCCCCTTTCAATATATAGCTAGAAGCAATGCATATAAAACCTCAATCAGAACATTTCACTCATCTGTTCAACATTTTGCAGTGATGCAAATCAGTGTTCTTATGTAACTTAGAAGATGCTACGTGATTTAGGTTCTGTTATTTCAGTGACTTCATGTGCCACCATCCTGGCCCTCTCTTATCCTGCTGCAGTCACACTGGCCTCCTTACCATTCGTCAAGCACATTAGGCACTTTAGGGTCTTTAGCTCTGTTTCTCCCTTAGCTTGATCAAACACGGGTGTCATGTCCCACAAGCCTGGGTTCAGCTCTTACTTCAAGGAGGCCCGGCTCACCTATCCAAGTTAATGCTTCCTTTCCCAAAACTCCTTATCACTGTCACCCAGTTATGCTGCTGCCTTTTTTCTTACAACTTCTCACCTTGTAATATGCAATATTCTTCCTTTTTCACTATGTCTGTCAGTTATTTTCTGTTCCCTATGGCAGAAGTGAAAAGCCCATAGGACAAATGTCCTTGACCAGGAAACAGGGCCAGCTCCATCGACATATGCTAGGGCACTGGCATAGGGCCCTGAGCTTATAAGGGCCCTACATACATTTGAAGCTTAACACTCTGTGGTTTATGTCTTGGAATCCTTAGTACATTTATGTGTTTTGTCAGTGAAGTCTGTCAGGACAGTGTAACATGAGCTGGGAGGGGCCTCATTTCATGCTCTGTCCTGACTTTTGCTACCTCTCTGGGATAATTTTTTGGCTGCATACTTCAAAATTCCTGGCTTCCTGGGTCCTGCCTGACCTTTTTTTTTTTTTTTAGAGACAGAGTCTGTCTGTCTTTGTCACTCGCACTTCACGCTGGAGTGCAGTGGTGTGATCATAGCTCACTGCAACATCAAACTCCTAGATTCAAGCGACCTGATCCTTCCACCTCAGCCTCCGGAGTAGCTGAGACTACAAGTAAGCATCATCATGTCTAGATAATTTTTTTAAATTTTCTGTAAAGATAAGGTCTTGTTACCCTGCCCAGGCTGGTCTCAAACTCCTGGCCTCTAGGAATGTTCCTGTTTCAGTCTCCCGGTGTGCTGGGAATGCTTCATCTTTCTTTACCCTTGAAGTTGTGGTGACACTGAGTCTATATTTCACCATTGCCCTCCATCCCTACAGGGACCTGGGTAGCAGGAGAATGTGGAAATGCAGCAGTGGCTCTTGCCTTGGGTTGGCAATTGACATATGTTCTTTAGGTGGCTAAGTGGGGATTTCTTACCCATCCCCAATGTAGGTACTGAGCAGTAATGTTCCTGCACAGGCATTTAAAGTCCATGGTCTGGCTGTCTGTGGGAAATTAGCTCAGTGGGTTCTTGAAAGAGGAAGATTCTGGCCAAAGTCCTGCAATTTTGTTTTTCACTGAGCCCCACAAATTATATAGCAGGTCCTACTCTGACAGTAACTGATGGATTTTAATTGCCTAGATTTTAATTGCCTAGATATGAACCTTTCATCCAGTAGATATTCAATAAATATTATTGAATGAATGTAAACCAGAGTCACACCACACTCCACTCCTTCCTCACTTCAGATCTGTCAAACCATGGACGAGGGACAGTTTTGATGTAGACATGCAATTTTAGTTTTAAGCTGGATTGTATTGACTTTTAATGACTCTTAAGTGACAAGATAGTTATGGAATCTGCTGAAAGTATTATTAGAATATGTATTTCCCATTAGGAAGGAGAGACTTCCACAGCATAGTTGGGAACAGCTATTGGAGAAAAATAGGACAGTTTCATGCCTGTACCTCCACTATTGAGCTGATGAGCTCACTAAAGAAGATGATCGTCATGGTAGATGTGCTATGCCTGGGGAGAAGCAAAACTAGAGCCAAATAACTGGGAATCAGAAGCTGAGAAAAAGCTGAGGGAATGAGACTATAGCCAAACTGAAAAACAAGTTAGAAAGACAATGCAAGAAGTCAAGAGAAGAAAGCTGTGGAGAGAGATGTCAGAGGGAAGGACATGGCCGCTTGAATGCCCCTGAGTGTAGGCCAGGGCCTGTCTGACAGTCTACACACGCTCTGACGCTTCAAAAACAAAGACTGTAAGGCACCTATTTTGGAGTCAGGATAGGGCACTAATTTTTGTCTAAAATTGGAAGAACTAGTGATGTTCTACTTTTCTTCAATAGGCTTTTTCAATGCTCAGGGACTAAGTATATTGGGATATAAAAATTATGGTGGAGAGGCAAATTATCCTGGCATCCTGGGTAAAAACATGTTTTATACTTGGGACCTATAATATGGTACCAAATCTGTCCTCAAAGATGACTGCCTTCCATCCATGGTAGGGGTGGGAGAGGGGATGCCAGTAAGAAAAAAGCAGTCAAGCAGCAGCCCCTGGGTTGGTGGGCATAGATCCCTGCATCCCAAGCTGCACATCCTATGAATGTAGTCTGTTGTGTTTTGGTTAATATAACATCTAGTATTAAGTCGTGCTTACTTTTGGGTTCTCTCCAAAGAACCTCTTTAGGGATCCTGATATCATCTTTATTGGTTGTCCCATCTTAAAAGGAATTAAGAATTATGATTAGCACTTCTGGTTGATGGCCCAGTCCCTAGAATGCCTACTGAGGGCCCCATTATTGCTGTCATATTTCCATTAACAGTTCTCAGATTGGCTGTTACTCTGAGAATCAGATGTTACTCAGAGTTTTGCAGCATCCTATTCTCCTGGTCACGAGAGAGACCTCTAGACTAGCCCATGTCTCCAGGCTACTGAAGTGAAATAAATTTTTGATCAGGCTATGGAAGAAGCAACAGAAGACAGAGCTAAAATCAAAATAATTTTGATATAATCATTTCAGCTGAAGACATCATAGAAACATCATATACAGTAAAGATAAAAATACGGCAGCTGATATATAGAAAAGACTGGAATATTTAGCCATAGCATAGATATCAAAAACTTAGTAGGACCAAGGAACTGAACCTATTTTCATTCTAAGACTACTATTGGGTTGATATGTAAATAAGTCAGAAACACCATGAACCCATCCTATCCCCAGTGCCAAGTATCAATGAGCCCTGAGTGCCATAAAGTTTAAGCCTGAAACAATTATATCTTAAAAATTAAAATGATTTATGTGCACTCTTTGAATCCTCCAATTAAAGGCCCCATTTATACCCAAACTATTATTATTTAAAAACATCAAGAGCTTCTAAACTACATTATAGTTTGTATTTATAGTTTATATTCACATTATTAAAAAATTACCATTTTTTTCTCCTCTCATGGCAAAATTTTTACTTAAGTATTTACACAATAAAGAATGTCATTTAAAATAGTCAACGAAGGAATTAAACCACAACGAGAAAGATCAATATAATGAAACAATAAAAACGAAAATATGTGCCAAAACTATTATTAAAATGAACAGATAGTTACAGTCCTGACATTAAAACCATTTAATTTATAATCAACTCAGAAAAATTTTTAGTGACAAACATCTTAGAAGAAAATTAAATGGCATTTCAAGCATACCAAGTCAATCTCAGTGCAAATTTCAAAAGGACTTTTGTGGCTTTTGACAGGCTGTGTCTAAAACAAACTTAGGGAGAAAATGCATACGAATAAACACAAGTTAAAGAACAATAAATATATCTGATCCCTATCAGATGCCAAAAGGTATTATTATCTAAAATAATTATTTCTGAAAAACACTAGTATAGAAGTAGATCAATGCAGAAATGGGACTGACAGTCCAATAGCGGACTCACTCATAAGCACATTTTTTAAATGTATTATTGAATTCACATAATATAAACACAAGTAGGAAAACAAAAATAATTGGCAAAAATAAAAGCTGTGAGATGCCTTTTATATTGATAAAAATAGTTAATAAGTTTATAGGTAATATTTGAATTTCCTGAGGAATAAAAAGTGAATTAAAACAAAAATGGAATATAATTTTGGTCTAACATGTCAACAACTTGAGACTACTAAATAAAATATGTATGTCAATTTCTTTGACATTTATTAAGTGAAATATATCAATTTCATATGTAAGGGGAAGTATTTTGGTACAACTTTTCTGGAAATTAATTTGGCAATATATAGCAAGGGATATAATTTTAATACACTGTCCTTTGATCCTCTAATTCTGCTTCTTAAAAGTATTCTAGATAATGATCATAAATACAGATTTAAAATTGTGTACAAAATGTCCTTTTTTATAAACAACAGAATATAGACTAACCAGTTGACTCTTGGATTGCCTAGAATATAGGGAATTTAGCCATCTCATGTTGGATATGATCGTATGTAAACTGATACAGTTTGAAGATAAATTAGGACCAAAGTGTACGAAAGTCTTTAATGTTGCACAGACTCTGTAGCTGGCAATTCCACTTCTAGAAATTTACCCTGAAAATATAATTGCAATTTTTTTATGATTAATGAGTCATGGTTCCAAATTTTACTTTACGTAGAGATCAGCAAACTTTTGCTTTAAGGTGCCAGATAGAAAACAGTTTAGGCCACACAATGTCTGTGGCAAATGTGGTAGCACAAAAACAGCTACAGATAATGAGAAACAAATGGGTGTTGCCGTGTTCCAATACCAACAGTATTTTATTTACAAAAGCAGCCTGTGATGAACTGGTCTGTGCTCTGTTTAATTACAATGTAACCTATATAAAAATGAAATTTATTTTTCTGTAGAAAATAATAGTCTTTCTCATAAGCCTCCACTTACTATATTCATTGTTTTAACATTTAGCTTAGTATAATAATTTTTAAATTATTTCAGGTAATGATTATTAAATTATTTCAGGTAATGATTAGTATTTAGGCAAAAAATGTTCAGTCTTTATTATGCCTATTTCTTACTCCTGCTCTGCTCTAAGATGCATTTGGGAACGTGGTTTACATGACCTCTTGCCTATATGGTGAAAGAGTCCTCAGACCAAGATGCCCTCAGATCCACTTTGGGCTTGGATGCAGAGTCATCCATTGGGATATGTTTGGACTAATCTCATCTTTTGCTGCATTAAAACAAAGTCGAAACTTTCACAGTTCTCTGGGTGCATTGGGCTCAGCTGAGTAGTTCCAGCCTCACATATTTCAGGATTGCAGCTGTAGTGCTAGAATCATCTTGACTTGACGAAGCTTAATGTCCAAGATCTCTCAGTCACATGGCTGATAACAGATGCTGTCCATGGATAAAAACTTGCTTTAAGTTGTCAAATGGAGAGCCCACTCATGACCTCTCCATGTTTTGGGTTTCTCATAACATGGTGACTGGTATTCTCAGACACCTACGTAGAAGCTTGAAGACTTCTAATGACTTAACCTCGAGAAATCCCGGAACATTACTTTTACCAAATTCCACTGGTAAAGTGAATTCCAAAGGGAAGCCCAGATTCAAGCAGAGTAGAGGCACAGCCTCTATCTCTTGATAGAAGAATGCCTTGTGTTAAAGGAAAAAGAGATAAAGATGGTGGCCACTTTGGAAACAAGCTACCACATTATTAATTGTCATTCTGCTGGCATTGATATCTTTAGTTTTATAAAATATAAATAAATTCCTCTGATTTCTAATGAAGCTTAATGATCTCTCCCCCACTTACTCAACTGATGTTAAGTTCTAGTTCAAATTCTAGATCTTTCTGACTCTGTGTCATCTCCATCAGGCACCCTACCAAATCAGTCTTCCAGCTTTGTTGTAGGATCACCTTGCCCCTGCCATGCAGGATCCAGGCCACAGAAGAATTCAGGAAAGCTAAGAAAAGCAAACTAGAATTCTCTCTAACTGCACAATGTCATCCATTAATTATGCAGGGCTCCTAAATGTCTGTAAAGAACCAGATGAAGAAGAGCTGACTCCTGAACTCAAAATGTTTTTTTGTTTGTTTTCAATCATGACACATTTTGACCTATTTGGGTTAAAGTCTAAAAAAATAACTGTTGAGACACCCATCTGACTACTTCTCTTTCCATTGCCTTCCTTTCTTCTCTTTCCACAGTCATCCAACACAAGTGTAAGTTTATCTTCTTTACTTCACATTCTTCTTCCCCTTCCTGAATCCAGCCTTGTGGTTAAGCCTTTGCGAGGGTAAATATCATCTCTGAACTAAACGAAAAAAATATATTGCTGGCTAAGCTTATTACATATTACACCAAAAGAATTTCAAGCAGTTTCTTTCTATAGTAAACGTTGTTTTTAAACCAATTTTCTTGCTAAAAACATCTTTATTCTCCTCTTCTGGGTCTATATACTGCTTGACTCAGATTCTGAGGTGGAAGGTTAAGGAGATGAATTTTTAAAATAACTGGAAGTAAGAAAATATCTGAAAACTGAAGAAAGATTAAATAAATTGTGGCACAACCACTTGGTGAAATATTTAAAGATTTTTAAGTGTTTGCTTATAAAGAAAAAAGATGGAGATGTTAATTATTCAATGTTGAGTCTAATAGTCTACATTTGCAATGGAATGACATATCCCTTTTTTTAATGATATCTACTCTGTTTCCATTTGTGCCTTCTTCATTTATTCATATTTCTAACTCTGTAGTCTTAATTAGGAATGATTCTTAATACTCGGTTTTTGTTCTTTTCCAGTCTCTCAGTAATCTTACTTGCTTCCATGACATTGACATTGCTTCTTCTATGAAGAAGTTTTTAAGACTCAATCTGTACTCTGGCTGCTCTTGCGTGCTTCAAACTTTGTAACTATGTGCCTGCAATTCCTTTTGAAAATCCCATCTCCCGGACCAACTTGTGCCAAACCAAAGCTATCATCTTTCCATCATGACTGACACCTCTTTGTTCTTTTCATATTTCTCTCTATAATAAATAATCTATTTCCCAGGATGCATGGTCTGTAATAGTTTTTGACTCATCTTCTCTTGCTCTTATCTTCAATCTCCGTATCTGTATCACAGACACTGTTTGTTGCCTACCCAGAGCCACCTCCCTGCCTTATTCTTGACAATAGAAATTTGCTTCTTGACAATAAAAATTTGTGGTTTTATTTTTTTCATTATCAGAGGCCAGCGTGTCATGTCTCGAGGTCTAAATCTTGATAATTATAACATAGTAACAGTAATTTTACTTTTCTTGCCCATGATTGATTAGGGTTGAACATGCTGTATAATTTGGCCACTGAGTTCTGAAGGATCTCTGCTGAGGAGTCTTCTAGGAAAATTTTCTTCATTCTTAAAAAGTGACATAAGGAAGGGACTTTTTTTTTGGTGAAGGGGATGTACTATATATGTGTGTGTGTATATATATATACATTTATATACATATGCTTTATAGGTATATGTGTATATGTATCTACATACACACACACACAAACATACATATATAGCACTTCCCCTCCACCAAAAAAGGAATGTCTCTTTGTGTGTGTGGGTGTGTATGCACATACATATATATATGTGTGTGTGTGTGTGTGTGTGTATGTATTTTGGAAATGAGGTCTCTCTTTGTTGTCCAGGTTGGAGTGCAATGGCATGATCACAGTTCACTGCAGTCTTGAATTCCTGGAATCTAGCAGTCCTCTTGCTTCATTCTCCCAAGGAGTTGGGATGATAGGCACCATCACACCCCACGTACTTTAGTGTAAGGATGTGATGCTTGTAGCCACCGCACCCATCTTGAGACTATAAGAGGATAAGCCTGAAGACAAGAGTGAACTTGCTGAGCATCATAAGGAGAAAAATAAAAATAACCAGGGCTCTGGATCAGCTGCTGAATTAACCTAAGCTATGGACTTCTATACATTTTTGATCTGGGTTCTTAAATTAATTGAGTAGAAAGACCTTTAACTGCTATGTAGACAATTTCAGTGCTGTGGGAAGACAATTAGTAGTCTTAAAAATTTAGTTGAAGCCTTGGCTTGGCCACTTAAAAGTTGCGTGATACTAGGGAAACTACTTAATTTCTGTAAGTAAGTCGCTACATCTATGAATTAGGAACAACATTACCCAAACATTTAGTTGTTTCAAATAAAGGAGAGAATGCATACAAAATAAGTTTGAAAAGGTAAAGCACCATATCAATAGAAGATTCATATTATATTTTTGAGTGTGATGATTGATTGAGCCACGTTTCCATTGCCACTACTCTCTTATAGAAATAAATTCTATCATATTTTGCGGCAGAGATCTAAGTGCTACCTCTACCTGCATTATCAGTAGTCTGTAATTCACACAGGTTAATATTTATCAGAATTTCCATTTTTTAGAAATTTAGTTTTCTAAGAAGATAGGTCTTAACTGTTCTCACTACATACATACAAAAATACAAAATTACAAAGTAACCATGTGTGGTGATGGATATGTTCATTGGCTTGATTGTGGTGACTATTTCACAAGGGATACATATATTGAATCAAGTTGTACAACTTAGAGTACATACTATTTTTACTTGTCAACTATGCCTCAACAAAATTGGAGAAAGAGTAAAGATATGGAAATTTTGAATCAATTACTAGACTTAATTGGTAGATATTGAACTCTGTGTTCTATAAACAAAGCATCAACATGCTTTTTGAATGCTTCTAGAGGATTTAGGAATAATACTATATTCTACTCAAGAAAGAACTCTTAAACTATACACAGTAAATATTTTATACACAACGAAATACTAGTAGCTAGTATGTACTAGTGGATATTCCAATGCTAGGAATATGTCAGTAGGAAATGACAAAAAAGTGTTTTGCTAAATAATAATTTCATGGAAAGTAATTAAAACAGTTATTGCAATACTATCGATAAGAACTATGAAAAATTTTAATTTAAAATGTTTTACATGAGAACAAAAGTATAACTGGGGAAATTTTGTAGCCTTACATGCTTTTATTTTCCATTAAGATTCTTTTGCTCTTTTTTTATTTCAATAGTTTTTGGGGTATAGCTGCTTTTGATTATACAGATAAGTTCTTTAGTGTTGATTTCTGAGATTGCAGTGCACCTATCACCTGAGCAGTGTACACTGTACCCAATATGTAGTCTTTTATCTGTTACCCCCCTCCCAACCTTTCCCCATGAATCCCCAAAGTTCATTATAAAAATATGGAAGCTTAAGTAAGATTATAAAAGAACAACATGGTAAATCTTATGAATCTGGAAAAATGAGCTTAAGAAAGGTAGAATTATGATTAATAAAATTAGCAGAAGTAATTGTAGTGTAAGTGATTTACTTAATAAGTAAAATTTTTAAAAGATCCACACAGAGCATCATCAGTGAAATAAGAGGGAAAATATACTGTTTCTAGAATTATAAATAAGATAGATGATAGTTGTCTCTTTAACTATGACATAGATTCTATCTATCTATATCTATCTATAGCTATAAAGAGATATAAATAGATGGGGGGCACAAAATCAAAAACACTAGGAGTCCTGCACTTGCTTCTGTTGTAGAAAGTTTCAATAGACTGTAACATTCTCCCCAAACACCAAAAGGAAACTGGGAAAATATAATATAGTTTTTGAAAACCGATTAGAGGATTTAGAGGATTGAGGACACAAAGAAATTGAAATCAACTACATGACAGAAACTGAGGAGCCTTTCATAAAAAGGAAGAGACTGCTGCTGTCATCCTTCGCAATGCAGAAGAAATGCAGAAGAGGAAGAGGTAACCCAATGGAACATCCCTCAGGCTGTCAATTGACCACGTGTGAGCTGACATGGCAAGACTCTGGAAACACCTTTCCAACTCATTCTCAGGTCCCTTCAAAGGGCATCTGGAGAGCAGGCCAAAGTTTGAAGGCAGTTAAAACAAGAGTGCTGAGAGGGATTCCCCTTCCCCAGTAATGGGGGTGAGGGAGAGATTAAGGAAGCTAAGAGGAACGCAACATGAGCCCTCTGGGCTTCCAGGCCAAAGATGGGGCAGAAAGACCTAGAAACATTCCCAACCTGGCATTTCAGGCTTTTGGCTAAAAAAAACATTAGGACAGATCATGGAAGCTGAGGGACAAACCTGCTGGGTAGATAGGAAGGTGCCTCCTTTGCGGTAGTTATGACACGGGGTTATAGTTAAACAAAATCTTAAAAGCTGTCCACTTAAGATTCATACATCTCATTGCACTCAAGTTATTCCTTACTGTAAAACAATACTTGTAGGAAGAGGACTTTGGTGTGGGTATTTTATGCAGAATGAAGGGGAAGAGCATGAACACTCCCCAGAAAACATATGCTTTAATATCTTACAATACAACGTCTTTCCCCAAAGATTTGTATATAAGAATGTTATATTATTTTAATAGGCCCAACATTTGAAAAACGCCTGAAAATGAAACAATATGTGATTAGTTGAATAAACTGTGACACGTTTCCTGGTGCCAAACTATATAGTTATTACACTTGATGCTATAGATGTATATTTAGCTATAAAAAATTCTATATTGTTGATTTAAATATTTATTACAAACATACTCCTACCATATGATCCAGCAATCATGTTGTTTAGTATTTACCCAAAGCGATTAGAAACTTATGCCCACACAAAATCCTGCACGTGGATATTTATAGCAGCTTTAGTCATAATTGCCAAAACTTGGAGGCAACCAAGATGTATGGCAGTAGGTGAATGGATAAACTGTGGTACATCCAGGCAATGGAGTCTTACTCAGCACTAGAAAGAAATTATCAAGCCATTAAAAGAGATGGAGAAAAATTAAATGCTTATTGCTAAGTGGAAGAAGCCAATCCTAAAAGGTGACATACTATATGATTCCAATCATATGAGGGTCTGGAAAAGGCAAAACTACGGAGATAGACAGTACAAAGATCAGTGGTGGCCATGGGATCCGGAGTGGAATGTGAAGGAATGAACGGGCAGAGCACAGAGGATTTTTTAGCAGGGAGAATACCCTGTATGAGACTGTAATTGTTGATACATATCATTAAACATTTGTTGAAACTCATAGACTGTACAACACCAGAAATGAACCCTAATATAAATTGTGTGCATTGTGTTATGATGCATCAATGTAGGTTCATCAGTTGCAACAAATGTTCCTTCTAATTTAAATTTGTCTTCCTTGTAATTTACATTTTGCTAAAAACCTAAAGCAACTCTAAAAATATATTAAATGAAATAACTAAATAAATTATCAATTACAAAGCAATATGTACACTATCTTGAAAAATGCGTGTTACAAGCAGCAACCAACAGAGATGGAAGGATAGAACTTTAAAACCAAATACTGATTATTACCTTTCTTCTGTTTTTCCTACTGTTTGATTTGTTTCTGCAATAAGTTTATAGTATTTTTGTAATTAAATTCAGGTTATTTACCAATAAGAAAACAAAAAACATTCTGATGATTAAGATAAAGGTCTCAGGGAAAAGAGCTAACATATTAGAATATAAAGTAATTATTAATTCAACATTACTCAATACCATGAATTACTGTTATGCTTTATGTTAACGGCTTAAAGAAAAAAATTATGGTCATACTGACACTAGTGGCTGAAAAGTCACTTGATTAATTTGGGACAAGCAGCTAATTATTTGAGAAAAAACAAAAGCAATCCCTCTACTTTAGATAATTCATCCAAATAAATCAATTTTAAAAAATTAAAATCATACTACAAAGTAAGAGCAAATAATTATATAATCTTGAGACTACACAAAGTATTTCTGAGCATCAAACTGAATGTCAATGTGCTAGAGAAAACTATTGATATATTGGACTATTAATTTAAAAGCATTTTTACCACTAAAACCTCTAAAATTAAATATCTAAGGAAAACATTTGCTATAACAATGGGAGTGTTAACTGTACTCTTACAAAACACTATTAAGATCACTTAATCACAGAAGAGATATAAATTAGAATTAAACATATGAAATTGTTTAACTTTTATAATCAAAAATTCCAATTGAATCTATAATGATCAACATGGAAATTGTTAAACTGTCAAAACTAAAAAAGATAATCATTTCTGGTGAGAATTTAGAGAAAGTTACCATCTCAGTATCTGATGGGGCAATGCAAATTGGGAAAAATTTTTCTGGAAAGTGATTTAGGACAGCCTATGTCAAAATCCTTAAAAATATGCATATCCTTTGATCCAGTCAGTCATTTCACTGCTAAGAACTGATTTTTCCTGGAGGTGTGTTTGCAAAGATAAAAATTCATGAAGCTTTGCTTATCATAGCATTAAAAAAAATGAAAACAAACTGTTTACCCAAAAGAGAACTGAGTACCTTCTGATATATCCCTAGTAACCAATAATATAAAACTATTAAAAGTTATTTTATTGTAAAAACTTTATTATCTAAAAATATATAGCAAACAAAAAGCTTAGCATAGCTTTTAGCTTAGGATTTAGCAGGCTCTGGAGCCCAAATGCCTAAGTTTTTTTTCCCAATCCTACCTTTTATTACTATGCATTCTTGGGCAAGTTACTTAGCGTTTCTGATTCTCAGTTTGGTTATCTGAAACAGAAATAATGGTAGCAGTCTCATTAAATTGTTTTGAGGGATAAACTAGTTCATAGATATAGAGGAACAGTGTCCCATATGCACTAAGTCCTTACAATATTTGATGTTATCAATAAATATTGTAGATCTAATTGAAAACATTACTTTTATCATAATCTTCTTCCATATCAAGGACATAGAGTGGCTTCTAAATGTATAGATGTTGAACCTAAATGCTTCCACTAAGCAGAAAACCCACCCTATTGTAAAGAGTAAACAGAAAATTCCTTGTGTATGGACACATTCAGATGCTTCTGGCTCTCCTGTGGCACCTCTCCCAGGCACTCCTGCTAGACATGGATCCTCCACTCCCTTGTCTTTCTTGGATCTGTGCCCAAAGCTGTTCTTATCACTAGACTACCTATGTCCTTCCTTGCCTTATCTGTTCTACACCTGGCCTTTAACACTCATAAGTCATGCTTTTTGTATGAATATTTCTCTCCCCTCTCCAGCTCATGAGATTTTTTTTTAAGTCTGACATTAAATTCTATGCCATATCCCCTGGTCTTTACAACATATTTTCCTTAGAGATATGACTATCTGATTCCCCTACTCCCCCAAAAACGTCCCCAAGAGTGGATTTAATGCTGCTTCTCTCAGGAATCCTCTTAGTACTCTATAAAGATATGATAGATACAAAATTAGCCATGCATTTAAATTTAAAGCACACCAATACTTAAATGTACATTCAGACTTACAGCATCTGTGGTCCAATCCGCGGGAGTATTGGCTTTTCTAGAGGCAATCTCAGAAGGCTTCCAGACTGATTTTGATAGAGATGAAGAGCCCAGCCTCACACAATAGCAGGAATCAAATGGGAAATTTGTGAAATAAGATGCCTTCCTGAGATTTATGTCACGCTGTTCCTGTCTCTACAGAATCCACAGATTTCTTCATATATTACAGAACTGTGCTTTCACTCTCTCATAAAAACTAAGGCGGAGAACATTTCAGAAAGAGACATGTGCAGTGTGTATTGGTTCCTAAGTTGTCTGAGAGCTTAGGAAGTCAGAGAATGGTCTCAGTTTAATCAGACCAACTTTTTTCATCACCCTTTCAAATAATTGGATGTATCTGCTGGTTGCGGGGGCCCCAAGAATTTCAAAGTCTAGCAAAACCTGATCAGCTTTACAGAGTTCTTCAGTACCTCTCAGACTAACTAACTACAAATAATTTTCCATTTATCTGAACCTGGTGACAATATCAAATCACATTATGTTCATGTGGAAAGTAATTGAAAGGTAACTCTTTAGCTCTGAATTCAGAAGTTGGTAAAAAGTCTAATATTTTCAAAAGCTGTATCATTTTGAGGAAGTGAAGAAAATCGCATTTTTCTGTCTTTCAAAAGAATCTAACAGTATCATTTATTGTATTTGTAAGTTATCTGGGCCGTGCTGCTATGATGTTAAAGGAACAAATTAAGAACACAAGGTTGAGAGATACAATGTGGCAGATTTCAAACAGGACAGCTGAGTACAGTATTACTTTTTTTTTTTTTTCCCCAAGGGTTGACGTAGTAGGAGAAATACATAGACTGGTAAATGCAACTGGAAAAAGAAGGTCAAGTAAAACAGCATTTCATCTGAACAATGGTTAGGGATCCGTTCTTTTACTAATCCATCCATTACGTCATTTTTTTAAGTGTTTTATTAAGCAACCTTTGTTTTAGGAACTGAGCAAGCAGCAGGAACAAGGCAGATAAAGTCCCTGAGCTCATAGTGTCCAGCGAATAAAGAAAGAATGTATCTGGTCGTCTCATTCCCCAGGAATTAATGAGGAAGCACCAGATGTCACTAGAATGGGAATGTCTTTGGGGAAAAGGCAAAATTGTTGGCTTCTCTGAGGGCACTTTCATTTTTCTACTTGTGTACTTGTTTTATCTTTCATAGAAAAAATGGGAGCTCCTCAAGAATAGGTTCTGTATTGCAGCAGTCCCCAACCTTTTTGGCACCAGGGAACAGTCTCATGGAAGACAAGTTTTCCATGGACTGGCTGGGAGCATGGCAGGGAGGTGGGGGTGGATGGTTTCAGGATGAAACTGTCGCACCTTAGATCCCCAGGCATTAGATTGTCCTAAGGAGCATGCAACCTAGATCCCTCACATGCGCAGTTCACAATAGGGTTCATGCTCCTGTGAGATTCTAATGCTGCCGCTGCTCTGACAGGAGGCAGAGCTCAGGCAGGCAGTAATGCTTGCTCACCTCCTGCAGTACGGCCCGGTTCCTAACAGGCCACAAACCAGTACCAATCTGTGGCCCTGGGTTTGGGTACCCTTGCTATATTGGATCCATTTCATTATTATCTTAGCTCCTGGCCCAATTCCCTGCCTTGCAAGCCGCAAACACCTGCACCCATTAAAGACATTTGACTGTTATATATTTTTTGTATTTCTTAGAGTATATATTCAATAAACATTAATGCAAGATTGTTATTTCATGTCTTTCTCATATTCCTATAGTTAATTGGCTCTACTTTTTCACCACTCACATATTTCAGAATTCCTTGACCTCTGGATCTCATACTGACCATTGTGTGACCATTTCCAGAGTCTTCCTTTCAGGCATTGCTCTGCCTTGTCCTGTGTGATTACTTCTTGCTCCTCCTGTACTTCTATAAACTACGACTTAGCTATCTTTGTGTCTTTCTAATTGTTTACTTTTTCTCTGTTGTATTTGATGCTTCTGTTCAACTGCATTCAGTTCAATGCAATTCAATTCAGTTTAATTAATAAATATTTGAACAATTGCTATGTACTGGATACAGTCACCACCTCTATTTGGAATGCTCTAAAATTCAGTCCTCTGCTCTGTGATGGATCTAATCCAAAATTGTTTATTGAACATCATCTCCTGGGTGACTTGTCATCTCCCCATTCTCAGCACTTCTACAATTAAATTTATCCTTTCACTTTAAAAATAAGGGCCTATCAAATTCTTAGGTGAAGGTGATGAACATTATTTAAGCAAGCAGTGTACAAATCATGTTGTATTTAAATATTTCTTCAAAAATCTCCTTAAGTAAAACAATTTTATTTCACATGTGACTTACACCAACCACAAAGTGCTCTTAACTTGCTTTATCATTATTATAATCTCTTCCACTGCAAGATGTACAGCATACATGGCTAGATTACAAAGATGAGTCAACTGTAATGACACTCCACTCCTACAGAAGCTCTTGTAGATCCCTCAGTGTGGGGTACAATAGCTTGGGGTGCAATACCTTTACCATCTTTGTCTTATTTACACTACTGCTATACATACGTTCCACATTCCAGAGAAAGTAGAGGTCTTCCTGATTGCTATGTGAGTTCTTGCTTCTGATTTTATCTTTACCTATTCTCCTCCTTCAGTGTGCTTACCACTATCATTCTGGGTATTAAAATTTCCACCTTTCCACCTTTTAGGCCCTACTTTAAATCACATATTATTAAGGATTATATACTATGGTGAAAAATAAATTTTAAAAGGGAAATAAAGAGCATGGTTTTTAGAAACATTGAGACTTGGATTAAATTTTAGATCTACCACTTTTCATGCTATGTGATTACTGAGAAATTGCTTAAAATTGTGACATTGCTCTGTGGGAACAAATTCCTTATATTCAAAATGAGGATAATATCTACCTTGAACTTGAGTTAAGAAGGTGATTATATAGCACTACTTGATTGAAATAAATGTGAAGATACACGAGGGATGCTGGGTTTCAACTATCTTGGAATTTAGGAAATTATTGTTAAAAATTTAGGATGAAATTTAAACATTCACAGCACAATTGTGATCCTGGGAAAGAACAATTCATCTAGACAGAAAAAAAGTAGACATTTTCACCATGACTTGATACATTCGTAAACAAGTTGGCAGGTCATAAAACTCTCTATTTTTACCCCCAGAGATCCCTTACTACATGGGAGTAATTTCCGAAGTTTCCAGGGCCATTTCATTCCCGAAAACCTCTTCCTCCTACCCTCTAACATGAACGTCAACTTATACATTTCGTCTGGAACCGAAATTCCAAGTTAAAATCATGGCAAATGGCTAAAATGGCTAGGCGGTGGACCTTAAATGATTTGTAAAAAGTGATGAATTCTATTGGTTTTAGATTTTGACATGTTACTTCTAGAAAAGGACTTCTAAATACATATTCTTTAGGTTTACTTACGTACACTAATTTTTTTTAAGCATACAAACAAAACCAGATAGTGAGAACAGTTTCCATCAGGATTACAAGACACTGCAAATTTGCTAAACTGTTATACCTATCCACTGACCCTCCAGACAATGATCTTAGAAGCTGGACAAGATAAAAAGACTGAGTCAAATCCATGCCCCTACTTAACCATGTACCGCCAAATATTAACCACAGATTTACCTCTTTCAATTAAATGACTAAATTTAAAAATAAGTACCTAAGAAAATATTTGACAACATAAAATTATACTGAGATTCTAAAGGATAATCTGGCCTTAAAAATCTTTACTCAAGGAAGCGAAGGAATCTTAGCATCATGTTAGTTTCTCAATAAAACTAAAACATGTACCTGCGTAAACACACATACGCACACACACATACGCTTACATACACATATACACACACACACGCACACACATACATGCATGCACATACACGATAAACAAAATCATATAAGTAGGAGAGCTGAAAGCATCCATATTGCCCAGTTTATCCAAATTCAGTAATTTGACTCTACTACAGGCCTCTACTGGGTTTGAAGTTGTTATAAAGCTTGGATTTTCTCAACTTTATGTAAAAAAGAGTGTTCTTGTTGGTATTTGGCAATTTTCTATGTTTTGATCCCTCTGAAAATTTATCCCAACCACTCTCTCTCTTCCAGAATTTCCTAAAAGTTTGTGCTTTGTACCTTTTCTTACTTTCTATTATTTATATAAAAGTATTATTTCTGCAATTTCAGTTAACTTTTAGTGCAGAGAAAAGTAAAAAAAAAAAAAAAGGGCTCAGTTTACAGTCTTGATCCAACTCCTCTGTTGTATGTTGGTTTTATATGCAAGAAAACAATAAATGTTACTCTTTAAATATAGCAATAATTAAAATTAAAGAAGGTAGTCATGTTAAAAAAACAGCTAAGTAGAATAGCTCACTTCTCAGTGATGATCAATATAATGAGGCATTTCTGTGCCATGAAAAAACAACAACTTGTAGAAAATTCCTTTTGAGACTCACATTGTAAATTACTTAATTTTTTACAATTTGTTTTTCTCCTACTCTATGCTACTCTTAAAAAGGAACTGTGGGTTTAAAAAAAACCATTTCTAATAACATAGTAACTGTGTGTGACTCTCTTCCCTGGGCATGAGGGGTCAACCTTTAATTTAAATATCAAGCATTTATTGTGCCACAATTGAAGAGACAGTAAGTAGCAAAATATCAGTTCTCATACAGTATTTTAAATCCATTCCAAAGTGAGAAGAACTATACTGCTAATATTATTTGCAAAACCTTTGCCAAATAAGATTAAAGCGTAAACCATATTAAAGCATTTGATGTGTACTGTAGCTAAATATACCATATCTATAGAAAATGTTGCATCCTCTGCCTCCAAATAATAAAAGCACATAGCAGGTGTTATTGTTTGGTCCCAGATATATAAAGACAACTAGGAATAAGCACACCCTTACCTGACACTTAAGCTTAGCACATTGTCACTACATATTGTAGTTACTTGTGTACATGTATATGCATGTATATGTATATATACATTATACACATGTAAATGTATCCTTGCCTTGTTCACCTTTCATTAAAATAAGCATAATAGGCCAAATAGTGTCTGTCTGTACTAAACTCCATTTCTACCCCTTGTTCTCTGTTCTGTATTGAGGAGGTTGGAAAATTAAAAATGACATTCTTTGGACTCCTTTTCCAGTTAGATTCTGATCAGTCCCCATCAGCAGAAGCAGCAGAAAAAGGATGGAAAAATTGGGGCTCAAAAAGCATTTGTAGGTAGGGTTGATGCACTAGTTCTATTTTCTCTCTTTTGCTTCTCTAGTCCTAGAAGAAGGGTTTCAGATACTTGCCCCACTTTCTGATCTCTGGATTGTACCATTTCCTAGTGTTTCCTGTAACCCTTTCTAACAATTTTTAGATATATTTCTGTACCAAATTTTCTTCTGTTTGAAATTCTTAAAGTGGTTTCTATATTTTTGACCAGATCCTGGCTGATGGATGTAATGAAGGCATGAACTATACTAGTTGAACAAGGAAATGAACTTGAACCAAATTGTGAAGTTCTCTGCAGTGAAATATTAAAGGTACAGATCAAAGCTTTCTCAGCAGTGTCCACTCCACTTGATCTTCTTGAAGCACAACTTTAACTGCTTTGTTGTAGCTGTCAGTCCTAGAGACCAAGTGGTAGAAGGGATAGATAGCTTATCTTCACTCTCACCACCTAATTACACCTCCTTCAACTGATTTCTTGGGCACATAACCTCTCAAACATTGCTTTTGTTACGACCCTGATACTGCTTACTTCTATGCCTATAACAGATGTGGCCTTTACGTGGCCTTCTTATCACCAAAAAGCTTGAAGGATATGGACAAGAGTGATATGCCCTTTGAGTTAGTATCTGCTAAATGCAGGACTGGTTTCAGATGAGATGTCATATTTGTCATGTGCAGCATTGCCTGCCTGATCCACTTTGTCATACTACTTCTTCTAGTATGTGTCATATTATGTTAGGTTATGCCATCAGAGATAACAATAAGACACGCTATTACTAGAACAGGAACACATTGTTGCCATAGATTCAGAAAGCTCTGATTCTTATGTAGTCACCAGAGACACATGAGCTGGATCTTGTAGCAGAAAGTCCTGCGCCACCGAACAAAATATGCATCTTATTTTTTTCAAAAAAAAAAAAAAAAAGTCAATAGACTTGAAGAAATCATGAGGGTAGTATTCTGGGGAAAACAACTCCATCAGTGTTGAATTCTGAGCTCCAGTGCCTCTTTACATTCAGCTCTTGCCTCACAGCAATGGCAGTCATTTGGGATAAATTGTGCCTTGATGCTATGGCACCAGACAGATTTGAAGGAGCATCTTTATACCTTTCAAAACGATCTTCCATTTAAATAGATAAGATGGTCTGGGTCTCGCCACTTTGATGCATATTTAGAATCAGAACGGATTTCTCTTTCAGTTGCCTGTGGAAGACACATTTCTCCAAATCAATGTCTGGAATTGCTAAATAAATTTCAAAGAATAGATTTTTTTTTCTGACCTTATTTGAATGTCTAGACATTTGTGGATTATTGAATCTAAACCGTCTAAAACACCAGGCCCATGTTTTCCCCAACCAAATTTAACTTGTAGATTAAGAACACAATTATGAATTGTAAAGTCAGAGCTTCGGGGCCAGGCTTGTTGGAGGAGAACTGAGAAGTAGAAACAAAATAAATGATCACTTAAAAACCTTCTGACATGATGGAGAAAAAAAAAAAAAAAAACGGGGCATAGACAATCAGAGAACAATCACTGACCAATTTATTGATGCTGATATTAGGGCAGGAAGAGTACAAAGGAGGGAAAGGGAAAGTCTAAGAAAGTTAATGTAATTGGAATAGGGCTAATTAAACCTATTCACAGATAACACATATTTACATAAAACATGTTTCACATTTAGAGGCTACTCACCAGGTTTTTTTCATTTGAAATTCAAACTATTGTAAGCCTGTTATATTCTATTAGTAATTGCTATTAGATGGTAACTTAAAGAACAATTATATGATGGTTCATAGGAGGAGGCTGTTATCAGCACACCTGGAAATGGTAAAAGGGATTCCTTCCCCATTTGTTCCTTGCAAGGAGCAAATTGCTGTAGGGACAGTCCAGTGGGAGGGGCCTCTTGAAGGGGTGAAAGTCCCAGCCTGTTGAATACCTTCACAGATTATTTCCCATTTTTAACAAGTATCTCCCTTATCATGAGAAAAAAAAATGTGATTTTTCCTTCTAGCCCATATTTAACCATCATATTTGTGCATATGATTGCAGCTCTGCTGAAAGGACTTGGGAGTGAGCTGCCAGGCTACAGGGGATTGAATCGAAAGCCCCCTAATGGTTAAAGTGTCCATTAGCTTCTCTACACTTAGCATCCATCAGAGAGAAGACAGGCTGGGAGCCCCGGGCGAATTTCTAACTAGCCTAATGAGGAGAGAGATTCTGGGAGCAAAAAAAGTTCATTTGCTGAATTTCCAGCAAGAAGTCACTTCAATATTGCTTCTAGGAAACACTGACAGGCTTTGTTGGTAAGAAATCATTATGCTGAGAGAGAAATGGGATATTGTTATATGACGTTTTTAAAGAAAATTCATTTTGATAGATGTCTAACTGTGCATTCAATTAAATTTCCTTCTCTTTCTTAAAAATAGATGTCAGGTAATTGTACTCAAGTTCTGTAAGCTGAAAAGTGTTATCCTTTCCTTCCAGTTATTAAAATTTCTTTATCAATAAGTGTCTTTCTTGTCTTAATCCTTTGACTATGGGGGGCCCTCAATGGAAATACATGGAGTTCTCCCCTCCTTGCCTGTGGATGTGTGCATGCCTTCCTGAAGAATTAGTAAGGACTGTTTTTTTTTTTTTCTTTTTTTCTGGTAAAAACTGACTTCTGTATTTAAATTATGTAGGTTCCATGCTCCCAAAAATTGTTCTTAAAAATCTATATGCATGACCATTTGCTAGACACAAGCCCTTGTAGTTATACAATCACAAGTCAGCATTATTCACCATGATGCCTCACTATTTCCTAACTATGTATCCTGCCATTTGGGAATGAGCGTTTTGAAGCTTTTTTTTTTTTTTTTTTTTTTTTTTTTGAGATGAAGTGTTGCTTTGTTATCCAGCCTAGAGTTCAATGGTGCGATCTCGGCTCACTGCAACACCCACCTCCCAAATTCAAGCGATTCTTCTGCCTCAGCCTCCCAAATAGCTGGAATTACAGGCACATGCCACCCCACCTGGCAAATTTTTGTATTTTTAGTAGAGACAGGGTTTCGCCATGTTGGCCAGGCTGGTCTCGAACTCCTGACCTCAGGTGATCCGCCTTTAGTAGAGACAAGGTTTCACCATGTTGGCCAGGCTGGTCTCGAATGCCTGACCTCAGGTGAGCCACCTGCCTCACCCTCCCAAAGTGCTGGGATTACAGGGATGAGCCACCGTGCCTAGCCCTTGTGAAGCTTTTAACAATGACCAACCTGATGTTCAAAGGATTTATCCCCTTCAAGATACCCTCTTACTCCCAGCAGATTCATCATTCTAAAATATAGCTTTGCAAATGTATACACACCTGCATCTGAAACATCTAAACCTCCAGTGGCTGTGCATCCCTCATCTGGAACAACCCACTTCTCGTTCTGATTATCCATTTGCCAGCAATGTTACCCTCATGTTCCTGATCAACCAGACACCTACTCTTGGAGTCATCTTCATTTACCTTCCCATTTCTCCTCACATTCATCAGAGCCACTCACTATATTCCCACTCATATATGTGAAGTCAATCAGAATTTTCCCTTCACAATATTGGTCTTATGTGCTCATGCTTCTCCACGGCAATTGCCATTTAATTAATTCAGACTCAGATATTTTGCCTTGACTATTTTCATAGCCCATTATTTGCTTGCCTTATTCCAAATAATTTCACAGATGGACAGCCATATACATTTTGCTGAGATTAATTTCAACCACATTCCAATCAAACATTCCATGACTCTCTCACTGTGTACTGGAAACATACATCTTAGCATTTAACACTTTCCAAAATTTCATTGACACCTACATTCCAGAATTTACCTAGTACTTTTACATCAATGTATGATAAGTTCTCACAAATTATAACTATGCACTGCCATTGTTGTGTCCCACAGTGTTTTATATTTGTACCTCCACTCATATTCTCCACTTCAAGTGGAATGTCCTGTCTCCACTATCACTGCCATCAAAATATTAATCTGCTTTGAGACTTCTTTTCAAATTCCAATCATTTCATGAAGCCTTTGCTGATAAACCAACTAAGCAGAATTTCTTACTTCTCTGAGAAACAGCACTAATAGCACTTTGTGGGCATGTCAAGTAGAGGAAAATGAAGAGTAACAGTAGGTCTTAGTTTCCACAACGGCGAGATTTCTAAACTCTTTCTTTCCAATTCTCACTCTTTGTGAACAAACGGTCTGTTGCATAATAGAGGACAGAAAAAGCATCACTTCAGAATGTCTTTATCAAGGGGAATGAGATCTCAAAAAAGGCTTTAGCGCCTTGGAGAGAAAACGGAGTGAGTTATCAGATCAAGCTAACTCAGCCTAGCTATTTCCCAACTTTCAATATGAAATTATATAGAAATGATGGGCAATTTGGGGCTTTCATTTAGGAAAGCAGTGGCACTAGGATTAAAATGTAGCAGGCAGGCTATTTCCAGAATTGAGTTAACTTTAACTCATTTCTAACCTTCCCATATAAAAATAACAGACTGACTACTAACCTATACTTTTATGTTCATTGTCCTATTTGGCAATACCTCTGTAAAGATTTTTAAGAAACCAGAGAACAAAGACTGTGGCTGACTTATCTCTATGTTCTAAGTCATCAAGAAGAGATAAGTAAAGATATTTGATAAATATTTACTAAATTAAAGTCTCCCCTGTCAGGCTACCCCTTAAATATTAAGTATTACTAACAATTTATAGTGCACATCTTTGGTAAATAATGTGGCATTCCCTTTTATTTATATGGTACATGCAAACATCTTAACATAACATTAATTCCTCAAGCTCAAGGTGTAAAGTGCATTCTTCCATTATTGTAGTATATGTCTCCACATATAGTGCCACAATGCCTAGCACAAAACCGAGATGGATCGGCTCAAGAAAGCTTATTTATTTGATGTTTCAATATAGTAAAAAAAAAAATGCTGTTTTTTAAATCTATTTTCAGATTAGCAAGCTAAACAGAGAAAAAGATAACACTCAAGAAACTGCCTATATGTAAGAGATTCCTTTGAGAACTTTCAAATGGCTCCTTTCTACAAAAGACCTGAGAATACTTAACCCCCCACCACTAGCACACTCAAAGCTCAAGGCAAATGCATTTTCAAGATTGACAGGGTCTTGGACTCTGAAAGTCTTTGGTGAGTATTGCCCTGCAAGTCTTAATACTCTACCAAATGAGTAAGTACACTATTTTCTGAAAATATTTCAAAAGGCGACATTTTTCTCATGTTTCCACTACAACCACCCACCCTCCTTCTTTACTGGCTCTCCTAATGATTCTTCCAACCCAGCAGTAATGCACCGTGGAATCAGGTGAATGGTATCAGTAGCTTCCGCCCTTCTTTATCATTGGCACTATCTAATGCACAGTTTCTTTCCTGATGCCATCTGCCAATAAGCCCAAATACGTCATCTTTCATCTCTCCAGAAACCACAGGCTGCTTTATTTAAGTGCTATTCTAGATTTTAATTTTAACAAAAGGAATTAAAGTGCAGAGATAACTGCTTCCAGAAATACTAGCCACTGCTTATACTGTCTCTCCTTTACCAAAAGGAGACACTTACATATGCACATACGCACCCCAAACTGAGTTCTGAAAAGCCATTCACTGGGGGTGCAATGAGTTCCTTCACGTGTTTTTAGTAAGATTGACTGGTCTACTCAAAGTTCTTTCAATACTTACTCTACAAAGCAATTTGTTTAAAACCCAGGGAGATTCAGGGGGTTGGTTGATCGGGGACCACAAGACTTACAGCTCCAATATTATTCAGTATTTTAAATTACACAAAGGACTGCTGCTTTTAATCTCTGGGTGGGCTGTGACTGAGCTGAAGAGAATCTGTTTTTGGGTTCACTTCCAGGATGTCGGTAATCTCTGTCTTGTTGAATATTTGTTTTTCCTTTTTTTCTGCTAAATATATTTCTTGGTTTCTAGAAGTGTTCTCTGATGTCAAGTGTTCATAGCAGAGAGATCCCAATTATTTGGCTTCAATGTACAGTCAAGAGAGTCCTGTCAACCCTCATTAAATCCTTCAGTCTTATCTTTTAGTCAATATATTGAGCCTCCTCTAGATGCTATCCTTGTTATAGATTTTAATCATCTTGATTACATGATTCTTCTGTTACAAAGTTCTATATGGGTTAGTACAATCACACAGTAATGACAAGTCTTAGAAATTTGCATGACATTTCCTAGGTTTTTAAGTTCTTTAACATACATCAGGCATTTTTCCATCAGCACAACCATGTGAGATAAAGCAGTTGATAATTTTCTTCAAGTAAGTAGACAAAGGATCCGAAAAATAAAGGAACTTGCTCTAGAAACCATGGATAATAAGGGACATTTAAAATGCAACCTCCAGAGCTTACATATGAGACTTTAGTATAGTAAACTAAAATGAATACACATCAAATGAAAATGATATAATATCATATGTAAAAATAAACAAAGTTGGTTTAAGAATATATTCACCAATACCTCATGAGTGAAGCTTGTATGACTAGCAGTACTTAAACTAGTACTGCTAGGAGAGACGAAAAAATATCACGTGAAAAAAGCAGACCTTGGGAATTAAAAAAAAAAAAAAAAAAACACACTAAGAGAAGAGATGTTTTGTTTTCAGTTATTGCCAAACTCCAGATCTAACAGTGCATTAGTTCATCTGGTCCTTTATAGCTAAATGACATTCTGCACTCATTAGAAGATATGCAGATTTTTATTAGAGTTTTTCATTACTATACAAACTGACCAATTTCTTGATATTTTGACTAATTAACAAGAAAGTTGTTTATAAAAATGGAAGATTCTGTGTCCCATTGTCAAAACATCAGCATTTTGAACTAGGGAAGACATGTAACACTGAGATCATGTGTTATGAAAAATATAAAATATATCCCAGTATTTGAGGAAACCGCCGGCTTCATCAGTCTGTGTCAGGGAATTAATTTTCAGTCATACATCCCTGCTGATATATCTGAAACCTGAGAAAGTCCAATTTCCTTCCTTCATATGTGTCTAATAGAGTATGAATAGTTCAAGTGTCTGAGGGAAATCAGAGGCCGAGCTAGAGACTCACTTTCTCAGTAACAAGGAGGACAGTGGCTTCAACCTGCTGCTGACAGAGGGGCTTGCATCTTCCATGCCCCAGGAAAGGTTTTCACACCTGGGTAAGGTGCAAATTGCAGTCAGAAGACAAGGGCCCAATGGAAATAGGATGGACTACTGGGCACAGGATGGCTTTCTGCCTACCCTTTCTCCTCTGCAAACCAGAGAAAGGGCAAAATTCTGTGGGTTTCTAGGGGAGGAACCTGGAGCTACAGCTCTTTGTTGACTAATCTCCTTCTCTTTTCCCTCCTGGGAGAGCTCCAGGCACACGAATAGGTCCAAAGGTACAAAAACTTCCATTTAGGACTATGGAAGGCAACAGGAGAGAGGAGGTAATCAATTTGTGGTCCATCCCAAATTCCCTTTCAGCTAGCGACCTAAGAGAGTGGGATGGGGAGCCTCACCTGATGCAGTGGTAATTCCAGACAATGCATACTTGAGAGTCAGATATAAAGTGGTCATCCATTCCTGAGTCCTAAATGAGCATTTGCTGTGCATTCTGCTCAGAGCTCATGTATTGTGTAACAGTGAGCATAAAAACCACTGTTTTTAAAGTATGCTGTATTTATGAAAATTATTGAACAATGATAAGGCTCACATCATAACAGTGACTGATTTTCCATTTAGTATTGAGAAATGATTCACAAGGTGTGGTCCTGGGACCAGCAATATCAGCATCACTTTGGAACTTGTTAGAAATACAAATTCTTAGGCCCCACCCCAGACAACGTGAATCAGAAACTCAGGATGGAGCCCAGTTTTCTGTATTTTAGCAAGCCCTCCAGGGGATTCTGATACACACTAAAGTTTAAAAGTGATGAGCATTTATGAATCTGCACTTACGTTCTTTGTATTTCCAATGCATTTACATGTCATTGTATTTTCTATGAATGTGAAATCAAAGAATGCCTTAGAAGCAACCATCATAAAAAAAATTTACAAACACTAATAATGCAACTACAAAAAAGAAGTCACCTTTATGTAGTAATTAATTTATTGCACATTGATAGTCTTTTAGAAAAAGACCAGGGATTAAATCCCAGGCTTGCCATGACATTGTGACTGTGGACATGTTTCTTACCTTTTTCCAGTCTCAGGTTTCCTTATCTATACTGTACTCATAATCAAAGTGTTTCCATTATAGGATTGTTTTGAGGGTGAAAATGTAAATACACTTAAAGATATAGTTTGTGTTTAATGTACATATACCTATGAATATTATCACATAGTTTTTGCATGAATCTGTGTAACAGTAAAAAAGTGAACATCATAGGTGAAGCATCTTATGTTTAAAGGGTAAATTTTGACCACATGCATATAGAGATTGAGAATTATCCACAATTGGTATATATATCCACTCAGATCTATTATATAAAATGGTATCTTGGCTGGGCAAAATCTAAGCTCAGATACTTCTGACAAGTGAAGTAGGACTATGCCACTTAAATCATTTATACCATCGATTGAGGTTATCTGGGGGCACCACGGGGCACCAGGGACCAGATTTCAGGGAGCAACAATGCAGGTCCCAAAAGGAAACTCGTTACCAAGGAAGTCAGGAAGACCAAATCTCTTGGGCCAAACTGAGTAACAAAGCCATGCATTGTACATTTATTACCTCATACTAGAACTTATTCTGATCTCTTCAGTGGGCTGTGTGTACCCAGGAGGAGGGAGCTAGGTGTGGCCATTGGAAAAGCTGTGTTTCTTAATGCTGTGATACTTTGGAGTGCAAGGAACTTTGCTCTGATTCACATCTGAGCTTAGCCAAAACACACTATTCTACTCACTTCCTGAAATCAGTGCTATAATGAAGTGTGGCAGGGCATGTGGGTGTCTAGAGGCAGCAATGATGAGGAATGCAGAATTCTGACCTACCTGAGTGTCCCCAGCATGACTTGGTGTCCCTAGCTTGCTGGGATCATCAGACATGAACACCATGCCACCACTACAATTCTCTTCAGTTGAGGCAACTCTTCTACGGAACCCTAGCTACAAGTAATAATGAAAGACTATTTTTTTCCCCTTTGCCTGGGTAGTCAAAGTTTTATCTTATACCAGTGTTCATTTGTAGTGTGTCTTCATTATCAACTTAGGATATTTTTTGGGAAATGTGAAAGTACAAAAATAATGTGAGGTACAAACCCACAGCAGTACTTTGGAAGTCCGCTTAAGATATGAAGCTTAAGTTACAGCAGTGGATAATAACCAGAGGGCACATCTTTGCTTTGGAGAATACTTGAAAGTCTTGTGGGGAGGTAACCTTATAAAAGCTTGGATTTTGTAGTAAAGCAGTTGGGGACTTGGGAACAATGAATATCAGGTGTAAATGGTGATGGATCTATTTCTGTTTTCTCCATTAGGACCCAAGAAAAATCGTGTTATCTAAGAGAGCAGTTATTCTGACACAGACTGATATCAGGTGCCTGTGGCATGAAACACGGAAGAGAATAATAGCATCTACCTTATAAGAAGACATACTATATTCTGGACCACATATCTGATAATTCTTACAGCCCTTTAAAGATAATCATAACTAGAATATTATCTTATTTTGTAGCTCATAGATGTCAAAAGACTAGCTCATAATTTTATTGCGGATACATAGCAGAACCAAGATTTGAACTCAGACCTGTCTCATTCCACAACTCATTTTCCTTGAAGTCAATAGATGCCACTGATCTCTAAATACCTACAAAAGGGGCTCGGAGGTGGAGAGGGGATGTCTGAGGAGCCTTAGGACTACCACCCAATGTTCTGTCTTTAGATAGAGATGCTATCACCAATCTCTCTTTCACACATACTCCTCCTCTTCTCATTTCTGTTCGTGTACTTGGTTCTCAGTGTAAGATTTTGTTAGAAGAAAGAGGCATGTTGGTAAAATAAGAAATAATATATCAAAAATAAAATAAAATTGTTTGAAAGTCTCTGCAGTGCTTTAACAATGAAAGAAGTATCTATGCACACTTTATAGTTTGCTAAATACATAATTGATTAAGTTAGAAGACTATGTAGAGCTGCGGCGGGCAGATCACTAGGTCAGGAATTTGAGAACAGCCTGGCCAACATGGTGAAACCCCGTCTCTACTAAAAATACAAAAATTAGCCGGGTGTGGTGGCAGGCGCCTGTAATCCCAGCTACTTGGGATGCTGAGGCAGGAGAATTGCTTGAACCTGGGAGGCGGGGGTTGCAGTGAGCCAAGATCATGCCACTGCATTACAGCCTGGGTGACAGAGCAAGACTCTGTCCCAGAAAAAAAAAATTTAAAAAATTAAGCTATGTAGAGTTATTTCTACAAATTGGGTTTAGCCATTGTTATATGAATATTTATTGCTCTTATATACAGTTCTGAGAACCCCTGAAATGATTACTGAATATATATTTTAGGGTAAGGAGAATAACATGGTGCAATCATAGTCAAATTATTATGCCCGGATTGGTAAAGAGAGTTGATATCCTCACTCCAATACCCCCCACCCCAAACACACACATATCTTCAAATACTACTTTAACAAGTCTTACTCCACCCTGTGTGGATGAGTCACAAGGTTAAAAAGAGTTCAGGCAAATATAACAAAACAACTGGCTGAACCTCATCACCTAGGCATGCCAGCAGGACAGAAGCACCCCAACAATTAAGACATCATATGGTAAGCTGTGTTGTGCACATTGTCTGCATTACAGAGTGGGAGAAAGAAGATCAATGTTGGCTCAAGTGGTCAGAAAAGGCTTCAAGAAGAAACACATTCATGCGGTAGATGACCTTAGAGAAGAGAGTGATACTGCTTACTAAAGCAGGATCCAGGTAAGCACTTGTCAAGCTCCTAGGGGTCTTCGTGGATTCAGGGATTTCTCAGTCACCATTACTATAATGATACAGTGGGTCTCTGTATTAGCCCATTTTCATACTGCTGATAAAGACATGCCTGGGAAGAAAAAGAAGGTCAATTGAACTTACAGTTCCACATAGCTGGGGAGGCCTCAGAATCATTGGCGAGAGGTGAAAGGCACTTCTTATGTGGCAGTGGCAAGAGAACAAGGAGGAAGATGCAAAAGAGGAAACCCCTGATAAAACCATCAGATCTCGTGAGGCTTATTCACTAGCACAAGAACAGTATGGGGGAAGCCACCCCCATGATTCAAATTATCTCCCTCTGGGTCCCTCCCACAACATGTAGAAATTCTTGGAGTACAATTCAAGATGAGATATGGGTAGGGACATAGAGCCAAACCATATCATTCCACCCCTGGCCCCTTCAAATCTCATGTCCCCACATTTCAAAACCAATCATGCCTTCCCAACAGTCCTCCAAAATCTTAACTCATTTCAGCATTAACCCAAAAGTCCATGGTCTAGTCTCATCTGAGACAAGGCAAGTCCCTTCTGCCTATGAGCCTGTAAAACCAAAAGCAAGCTAGTTACTTCCTAGATATAATGGGGGTACAGGAATTGGGTAAATACAGCCATTTCAAATGGGAGAAATTGACCAAAGAAAAGGGGTTAGAGGGCATATGTGAGTCTGAAATCCAGTGGGGCAGTCAAATTTTAAAGTTCCAAAATGATCTCCTTTGACTCTATGTTTCACATCCAGGTCACACTGATGCAAGAGGTAAGTTGCCATAGTCTTGGGCAGCTCTGCCCCACCCCCGTGGCTTTGCAGGGTATAGCCCCCGTCCTGGCAGTTTTCACAGGCTGGGGTTGAGTGACTGTGGCTTTTCCAGGTGCATGGGGCAAGCTGTGGGTGGGTCTACCATTCTGGGGTCTGGAGAAAGGTGGCCCTCTTCTCACAGCTCCACTAGATGGTGTCCCAGTAGGGAATTGGTGTGGGGGCTCAGATCCCACATTTCCCTTCCATACTGCCCTAGCAGAGGTTCTCCAAGAGGGCCCCGCCCCTGCAGCAAACTTATGTCTGGGCATCCAGGCGTTTCCATACATCTTCTGAAATCTAGGTGGAGGTTCCTAAAGCTCAATTTTTGACTTCTGTGAACCTGCAGGCTCAACACACATGGAAACTGCCAAGATTTGGGGCTTGCACCCTCTGAAACCATGGCCAGTGCTGTACCTTGGCACCTTTTAGCAACAGCTGGAGTGGCTGGGACACAGAGTACCAAGTTCCTAGGCTTCACACGGCACTGGGACACAGAGCCTGGCCCACAAAACCATTTTTTCCTCCTAGGCTTTGGAGTCTGTGATGGGAGGGCCTGCCATGAAGACCTGTGACATGTCCTGGAGACATTTTCCCCATTGTCTTGGGGATTAACATTTGGATCCCTGTTATGTAGGCAAATTTCTGCAGCCAGCTTGAATTTATCCTCAAAAAATGGGTTTTTCTTTCCTACTGCATTATCAGGCTGCAAGTTTTCCAAACTTTCATGCTCTGTTTCCCTTTTAAAATGGAATGCTTTTAACAACACCCAAGTCGCCTCCTGAATACTTTTCTGCTTAAAAATTTCTTCTACCAGATACTCTGAATCATCTCTCTTATGTTCAGAGTTTCACAAATCTTTGTGGAAGGGGCAAAACACTTCCATTCTCTTTGATAAAACATAACAAGAGTCACCTTTGCGCCAGTTCTCAACAAGTTCCTCATCTCCATCTGAGACCACCTCAGGTTGGACCTTATTGTTCATATCACTATCAGCATTTTTGTCAAAGCCATTCAACAAATTTCTAGAAGGTTCCAAACTTTCCCACATTTTCCTGTCATCTTCTGACAGGAAACTCTTCCAAGCTTTGCCTACTACCCAGTTCCAAAGTCACTTCCACAGTTTGGGGTATTTTTTCAGCAACACCTCACTCTACTGGTACCAATTTACTGTACTAGTCCGTTTTCATGCTGCCGATAAAGACATGCCTAAGACTGGGAAGAAAAAGAGGTTTAATTTGACTTACAGTTCCATGTGGCTGGGAGGCCTCAGAATCATGGTGGGAGGTGAAAGGCACTTCTTACATGGTGGTGGCAAAGAGAAAAAGAAGGAAGATACAAAAGTAGAAACCCCTGATAAACCATCAGATCTCATAAGACCTGTTCACTACCACAAGAACAGTATGGGGGAAACTGTACCCCTGATTCAAAGTATTCCCACTGGGTCCCTCCCACAACAGGTGGGAATTATGGGAGTACAATTCAAGATGAGATTTGGGTGGGGACACAGAGCCAAACCATATCAGTCTCCTACAAACTCCTACAAACCAGAATCTCAGTTGGCAGTATCAACAGCATAGCTTAGATATTCTAGATGGTACTTATTGATCAGGGAGTGTTCTCAGAACTTACCTTAGGCTTTTTACTACTCATTTAATCTTTACAACAATCATGGAAGGGAGGTACATCATTGGCATCATTTTATACCTCAGTAAACTGAGATACGAGGAGGTTTTATAACTTGCCCACTATGCTAACTGCAATGCCATGGTCAGCAGAAAATTGTTTTTTTTTTCTTTTAAGATGCCTGGATACTGCATATTCATGAATCCACACAAGGTCAGGGTTCCATTCTCTGACCTCTTTGCTGAGGAGGTACCAGAGAAAATTCATCCTGAAGATGAAAAAGGGTTTTGTGAGGTGGGAGAGAACGTGCGTGTTGTCTGAAGTGGCAGAACATAACAAGTCACAATGCAAGGGAGACGAGGAACTGCCCAGATCATCTGGTTTTTTTTGGCACAATGCACATACCACGCAAAATCACACTCATACACCAAATCAAGCACTTTAATCACAATTCAAGAAGAGTTTAACAAAAGACTCAGGGATGATTTTGCTGATTCTCAGAGAGCACTCACTTTCTAAAAGGGCAAATCACTGGGGATCCATTTAGTGTTGTTACCTACGTAGAGTTTTACTCACTGTGAAACAGCATACCTTCCAGAGGCCTGACCTAGCTCTCAATTCTTCTGGCCTAGTTCCTGGGAAGGATTTTTATGTACCTTAAATCACATTCACATAAACACATACATGTACAGACACACACACTGGATGGGAGAATAATTTTAACCATATCATACACAATACTCAACATGAAGTGCTTGGAAATGGTGGTGTAGGAACAACCTTAGTAAACAGGGAAACATGACTGGTTTCATAAAAACCCACACACACCTCTCTTTCTCCTTCCCCCATAAAAGAGCAAGACAAATATGCAAATTTAACAGGAAATTAAACAAAAGTCCATGAATTGCAATCATTACAAGCCTATTGCTATCGTTGGCTGTAATACACAAAATGGGATGTCCATTTTTTAACCACTCATTCAACACACGTTGATATTTTTACTTTTGTGGAACTCTCAATTTATGTGAAAATAAAGTATTTGAAGACATAAAATATTCAGAGTACCATTAAATTGCTGAATTGACTTCTTCCTTTTCTAAATACCGTATTCATTTTGAACGGGCTAAGCAATTTGTAGGAGAACATTTGCCTCTTGACCTCCATGTATTATTCTCACTCCAGCACCAGTCACACAATGAGAAGAAAAATACGAATATAACTGTTAATCCTGCCATATAGTTTGGCTGTATGTGCTAGTCACTGGCTTGTAAAACTAGAGGAAAAATATCAGAATAAAATTATTTCTTGAGCATTCCTTTATTGATAAATATTCAATAATATGAGTTTCTTTGTAGGACTTGCTAGTAATGGGGATATAACAGAAAACAGAAACATAGATCTTGTACTCAAGGAGCTTTGTGTGTTCAACAAAGTGTGTAACAACCCTAAATTTCAGATAATAGTATATCGTGAATTTATTTAAAATTCCTTTAATTCTATCTTATATCTGTTTCCATTCTATCATGTATCAACATCTGTTTTCTCCAAAATTGTACCATGATGACAGTGCCCTCATATTTTTTCATCCTCAGTGACTTGATCATAGGTGCTGAAAATGTTTAGTAAAATGAAGCAAAATATGTCTTCTCATGAGTATCTACAAGAGAAAGATATAAGGCTATTTGCTTTTATTGCCATCTGAACAAGGTTAGGAATTGAAAATATATGACGCATCCTTTTTACTCAAGCAGATGTGGCTTTTTTTGACTTTGCAGAGAATAAGTTAAAAAAGAAGCCATGTTCTGAAATTGATTTACTGCTCAAATACCAATCAATCAATCAACATGTCTTTTTTCTGAACCTATGATTGTATAAAGACACTAGCCCAGGCTCAGATTTGGGTCAGAGATAAATAAGACAGTTTCCAGCCACATTTCTGCTTGAAAAGACAAGCTTGAAATATGCTAACAGATAATTAGCTATAGAAGTAGTGGGTAATCAGTGGGAAAGTAGCAGCCGTATAAGAGCAGCTGAGATGTGAGGGGCTTCCAGGGACTTGAGGTACCCCAGTGCTAATCCCTGATATCTGTAACTGGATTCAAAAGTCAGAGGAAAAGGGATGTTGGCTACTCCAATATGACCCGATTGGCTCATACATGACTAATTAAAAATCTTTTTCCTTCACTTTTTTTTTTATATTAATGACAGCTGCAGCAAATAAAATGTTCTATGTTAGTTTGTCACTGATGACACTTGCTAATTAGAGCAATTAATTTTACAGTGCTAATGTATGCCATAATTCTAACTAAAGAATAAATGCAATACAAAATATTTTCCAAATTTCAGAAATACCTAGTTTTTATTTTTATAGGTAAATGATTAACAAGCCTACACAACCATGTATGCCCAAAATAAGTTTAAATGTTAGGTTAGATGTGCAGCAAGTATTAGACATGATCCTAAAATGATACCCAAATCCTCCATGCATAAGGCTTATCTCTGTTTTATATCATTAATCACTGACAGTGACCAAATGTGGGTCGATTGTTTTATCTCAGGATAATGATCTATTATTTGGGGCTACTAATCGCCTAGTTCACACAACTCAAGGGGATATGAATTAACAAGATGAGCAGACCGTAGTCAGGGCTACTGTGGTTCCAATTAAAATGCTGTTTTGTTGTTGTTCATCATTATGTATGTTGAATATTGTGTCTTTACCTAAGGGATTATGTGAGGTTTGTAATATTTATAAAGAGAACAGCTACTCATCTCAGGGACTTTTCAAAAGTATGTATTATTTATTTCCTGATCTACCCCTCCAATGTTCAATATCTTTAAGAACTGTGATTAATAAAACACAGTTCCAATTTGAACAGCCTGGGTTCTATTCGCAAAACATGGTTATTCAGTCCATTTCTATGCAGACATCAACAGGGAGAGTCGTTATCACCAAAAAAATGCATAAGCAACATCAGATATTTTGAATTAATGATTTTGGAGAAGAGATTCATTAGACTCTTCGCTCATCCCTAAGTGGGACTTCTCAATTAAGTATGAAGAGATTGGGAAACAGAAGGAACTTGCACATTAAAAATGGTGTGTCAAGCTCAGTTAAAGCTGTATTAAAGCCTTTCATTCAAGATCTGTCAAGAAGTCATTATCATCTTCTTTTCCCTTTTCTTCTCTGAGTTTTTTTTTTAAACGGAGGTTTAATGTATTATTAATAGAAGAAAAGGAATAAGCAACTCTAGACAGTTATTGTGTAGTGCAGCAGCAATTTTAGGATTGGGTGAAAGCACTAGGAGTTATTTCATCCATCTTTCATAAATGTAGGTGCTGGAGAATGAGGTCTGTGCTAACGTGAGCTGAACAAAGCAGGACAGAGCCACTGTCACGCTATGGGAGGGTGTCCTTCAAGCAATTTACTTGGCTGTCATTTCATGAGATACATTGAACTAAATCCATAAAAATATTTGTGCTGCTATGTTTCAAGCATAAAATGGCATTTTACATTCTATTTAGGGTTGAAATGGAAATGAAGCAAGCAAGTTCATTAACCGGCTGTTACCAAACACCTAACTGTGTGTTCTTCTGTGCTCTTTGCTTTAGGAGAGATGAAATGATCCCTGCCCATAAGGCCACCATCATCCAGTAGAGACACAAAGGCAACATAAAAGTTGCCCATCTTGTAACATTTCTGTCAGATTAAATATCAAACTTAAAAAAAGATGTCTTAAATTCCCTCTTTGCTGACCTCAAAATATGAGGCTGGTGTAAGTAGCCTCTCCCCTGCTGAATTCTTACTGAATCTTGGAATGTGAGGAAAAATTAAATTCCTTCTATCCAGCTGTTGCCACAAAAAGGTGTGTTTATTTTCTCTAGTTCATCAACATCAAATTCCTTTAACTCCCCTCTATTTACATATTACTCTGTTCTGAATATTGTACAAAAGAGGCCTTCTGGTATTCTGTGGTCAAATGTCTTATCTAAAATGTTACTGTCTTCATGTTTTTAAAAAATATATAAAGTTCATCATTTCTAAAAAAGTACTTAAAAAGTATTCTCCCATGAACTACGTCATTTAATATTCACAATAGCAGGAATTTTTGTAAGTAACACATATTGTTGTTATAATCATGTTGATATATGAAGACGGTGGGGTCATTTGACCAAGCTTCATTGCCAGTCAATGGAAGAGGCAGAACTCAAATCCAACCCTGGCACCTTCACTCTGTTTCTCTGATGGGCCAGCAGCTGTTTTGGCTAATGCTTTAATCAAATAGAAATTTAAGTTAAAATAATAATCCTCATGGTTTAGCACAGATTGGATATTCAACACAGATATATTACAGGTAAACAAAGACCTGCCAGGTTAATGCAGATACTATATATGCCAAAACTTCTATAAAAGGGATTTTATACACAGGTCAATGTCACCTCACTCACTTTACTAGACAGTAACATCTCTGAGAGATGGCCTGGAGCAAACATGTAGCTGACAATACATCCAGTTTTTACAGTCTTTCTGAGCATCTATTTTGCTAACTGATTTAACTTCAAAAATTCAACATCAATCCTGCATTCAGCCAGAAAGCGTCTTCTATGATATTGAAAATTTAACACAGCCATGGTGAATAAGAACATCAGCTTCTGACCAAAATAAATGTGGCTGGATAATTGTCATGTGAAATTAAGTATGGGTCCATTTAGTACCACCCCTTGGAGCTGTCAGGAAGTAGAGTGAAGTCAGTGTAGCTTTGGAGAGCTTCTGCCCTGAAGTCCAGGGCCCATCAGCATGAATGCATTAGTGGTTGGATCAGCGATACTTCAGCACTCCCAGAAATGGTGTCGATCACTATCACTATCACTATCACTGGATATTCGAGAGGTGCAAAGCTATTCCAGCACAAGATTTAATGTATAACACAGAAGGAAATATCTATGACACTTTCCCACTTGGTCAAGTTTGCATCACCCTGTCAGGAGGACAGTGTATGAGACTAGACAGGAAGGAGACTATTTCTTCCCTCTGGAGGTTCTCTTGCTTTAACTGGTTTTATCAGTTCAGATAACACTTCTTACCTACCACATGAACATGGAAGATTGTTTAAACATTATAGACAGCAGAAGAAATCCGAGTCCATGACCTTAGAGTGTTTTTATCTTACATAACCGATTCAAAATAAAACAAATTCTAGTGATATTTTCCTGTAAGACACTGAAGAATCTGGTAGTAGGTAGAAGCCCAAGTTAATCAAGATAGACTGTGTTATCACCCTGAGTCATTTCCCCCTCCACAGACTAATTCCTTCAGTGAGATGTTTTCAAGGAGATATTATTTCCCCCATCTTTTCTTCTCTCTTTCCTGGGAATTGCTCCACCCGGGTCCCTGGTCTCATTTGTTTTTTCATCCACACAGTATTACCTCTGGGCTTCTGGAAAATACTAAAAACACCCAGTCATTCTTGCATCACATATACTAAGCATCAGAGAATATAGAGCCAGGGTCCCCAGTCCCTGGGCCACAAGTCCATACTAGTCTGTATCCTTTTAGGAACCAGGTCTGCACAGCAGGAGGTGAATGGCAAGGGAGCAAAGCTTCATCTACATTTACAGCCACTTCCCATTGCTCACATTACTGCCTCAGCACTACCACCTGTCAAATCAGTGGTGGCATTAGATTCTCAGAGAAGTCCAGACTCTATTGTGAACTGTACATGCGAGGGATCTAGGTTGCACAATCCTTACGAGAATCTAATGCCTGATGATCTCTCGCTGTCTCCCATCACCCCCAGATGGGACTGTCTAGTTGCAGGAAAACAAGCTCAGGGCTCATGCTTATTCTACATTATGGTGAGTTGTATAAGTATTTCATTACATACTACAATGTAATAATAATAGAAATAAAGTGCACAATAAATGCAATGTGCTTAAATTTTCTCAAAACCACCATGCCCCGCTGCCCTGGTCTATGAAAATATCCTTACAGGAAACCAGTCCCTGGTGCCAAAAAGATTAGGGACTGCTGATATAAAGCTGTTAGGCTAGTGAGAAAGCCACATTTATTCCTCCCCTTCAACTTTCAGGCAGGGAAAAATGGTAGATCTGATTTTTGAAAGTGTTTTCACACATGCCTGTTGCATTGCATGGGATTAATATCATAACAAGCATATGGGAAATATAAAGTTACTTCTAGTTCTTCTAGTTCTGAATAGACATTCACCATAGACAACAGCCCTTTATTAAGGGAGTAGGGGAAATAAATCCCAAGATTTTAGGTAAAAATAAAAGGGGAAATAAATCCCAATACTTTTCTCCTCTTGCTCTCCAACCTCATGCTGGTTCCTCCTAATGGTTAATTCAAAACAATTCAAAACAGAAGCAGGAGAGCAAGGAGGCTCTAGTTCAACCATTCCTTCAATGTCAGCCTCCTGGTGTTAAGATTGGGAAAGAAGAGAGTAAAGAAGGGCACTCTGAGGATACACAGCACACAAATCCCAAAGGTGTTTGGAAGGCTTGATTAAACCTGGCTGACTTTATAAATGAAACAATTCTTCTGTGATTGTCTCAAATCTCAGTCCTTGAAATTCTTTTTCTACACTCCCTAGATTATTTCATCAAATCCCATGGCTTTCAAGACCATCTATATTCTGATGATTTCCAAGTTTTTCCTAACCTTCCCTGCACTCCAATTGTGAAATTCACATTTCCATGAGGATGTCTCAAATGCCACAACCTCCTCCTAGAGATCTTAATCAATGCCCCTCCCATGTACTCACAATACCCAACTTTTTCTCCCATGTTCCCCATATCATTAAGTGATAATGTAATTTTTGCAGTTGCTTGGTTAAAAATCACTGAATTGTCTTTAGATTCTTTATTTCTCTCACTTACCACTTCCCATTTATTTTCAAGTTCACGTTCGTAATACATCCTAAATTTTTGTCTTCCCTCCTGTATAACTACTACTTTAGTTCAAGCCTAATCCTCAAAAATGCCAGCAAACTTCTCTTCTACTCCACTCTTGCTCCCTTTCACACCCAACACAGTTATCACTTCATGTATCAGTAACTACAATTGTCCTTTGTAAGACCCCATGGCTTCCTATCACATTCAGAATCCATTATAAACTCCTAATTCTGTGCCTACAAGGGCTCCCATGAGTTTGCCTTTTCCTATTCATACACCTTATCTCTTTACTTTTCACTGTACTTATTCTTCTCCAGCTCCAGGAGCCTTCTGTATTAGTCCATTCTCATGCTGCTATGAAGAAATACCTGAGACTGGGTAACTTATAAAGGAAAGAGTTTAATTGACTCATAGTTCTGCATAGCTGTGGATGACTCAGGAAACTTACAATCATGGTGGAAGGCACCTCTTCACAGGGCGGCAGGAGAGAGAATGAGTTGAGCAAAGAGGAAAAAGCCCCTTATAAAACTATCAGATCTTGTGAGAACTCATTATTATGAGAACAGCATGGAGGTAACTGCCCCAATGATTCAATTACCTCCATTGGGTCCTTACCATACAAGGGGATTATGGGAACTAAAATTCAAGATGAGATATGGGTGGGGACACAAAGCCTAACCACATCATTCCATCCATGGCCCCTTCCAAATCTCATGTCCTAGTATTTCAAGACACAATTATGCCTTTCCAACAGTCCCCCCAAATCTTATCTCATTCTAGCATTAACCCAAATGTCTAAGACCAAAGTCTCATAGGAGACAAGGCAAGTCCCTTCTGCCTATGAGCCCATAAAATCAAAAGCAAGTTAGTTACTTCTGAGACACAATGGGGGCACAGGCATTGGGAAAATACAGCTATTCCAAATGGGAAAACATGGCCAAAACAAAAGAGCTACAGGCCCCATGCAAGTCTAAAATTCAAAGGGCAGTCATCAAACCTTAAAGTTCCGAAATGATTTCCTTTGACTCCAGGTTTCACATCCAGGTCATGCTGATGTAAGAGGTGGGCTCCTATGGCCTTGGGAAGTTCTGCCTCTGTAGCTTTGCAGGGTACAGCCCCACTCCCAGCTGCTTTCACAGCTGGCATGGAGTGTCTGCAGCATTTCCAAGTGCATGGTATGAGCTATTGGTAGATCTACCATTCTAGGGTCTGGAGAATGGTGGCTGTCTAATCACAGCTCCACCAGGCAGTGTCCCACTGGGGACTCTGTGTGGAGGCTAGGACCCCATATTTCCCTCCACACTGCCCTCACAAAGATTCTCCATGAGGGCTTCACCCCTGCAGCAGACATCTGCCTGAATATCTACGTGTTTCAATACATCCTCTGAAATCTAGGTGGAGGTTGCCAAATCTTAATTCTAGTCTTCTGCACACCCACAGGATCAATACCATGTCGCAGCTGCCAAGGCTTGGGGCTTGTACCCTTTGAAGCAATGGTCTGAGCTGTATATTGACTCCTTTTAGCCACAGCTAGAGTGCCTGTGATGCAGGGCATCAAGGACTGCACACAGCAGTGGGGGGCCTGGACCAGGCCCAGGAAAACAATTTCCCCTCCTAGGCCTCCAGGCCTGTGATGGGAGGGGCTTCCCTGAAGGTCTATGACATGGCCTGGAGACATCGTGCCCATTGTCTTGGCGATTAGCATTTGGCTCATTAGATATACAAATTTTTGCAGCCAACTGAATTTCTCCCCAGAAAATGGGTTTTTCTTTTCTACTGAATAAGGCTGTAAATTTTCCATTTTCGTGCTCTTCACACCTCTTGAATGCTTTGCTGCTTAGAAATTTCTTCCATCAGATGCCCTAAATCATCTCTCTCAATTTCAAAGTTCCATAGATTTCTAGGGCAGGAGCAAAATGCCGCTAGTCTGTTTGCTAAAGCATAACAAGAGTGACCTTTGCTCTTGTTCCCAACAAATTCCTCATGTCCATCTGAGACCACCTCAGCCTGGACTTCATTGTCCATATCACTATCAACATTTTGGTCAAAGCCATTCAACAAATGTCTAGGAAGTTCCAAACTTTCCTACATCTTCCTATCTCCTGAGCCCCCCAAGTCTCTAGGAAGTTCTAAACTTTCCCACATTTTCCTGTCTTCTTTTGAGCCTCTGCAAACTGTTCTACTTTCTGCCTGTTACCCAGTTCCAAAGTCACTTCCACATTTTCAGGCACCTTATGGCAGCACCCCACTCCTGGTACCAATTTACTATATTAGCCTGTTCTCACGCTGCTGTGAAGAAATACCTGAGATTTGGGTAATTTATAAAGGAAAGAGGTTTAATTGGCTCAGAGTTCCACATGGCTAGGGAGGCCTCAGGAAACTTACAATCATGCTGGAAGGCACATCTTCACATGGCAGCAGGAGAGAGAATGAGCTGAGCAAAGAGGAAAAGCCCCCTATAAAACCATCAGATTTTTTGAGAACTCACTCTCTACCATGAGAACTGCATGGGGGTAACCATCCCTATGATTAAATTACCTCCCACCGGGTCCTTTCCATGACATGTGGGGATTATGGAAACTATAATTCAATGTGAGATTTGGTTGGGGGTACACAAAGCCTAATCATATCACCTTTTTCTTGCTGTTTCTCCAAAGCACTGAGGTTATTCCAGTTTTAGGTCATTTTCTCTTGCTCTCCCTTTTACCTACTGTGTTTTCCCTCAGATGCCACATCGTTCCCTGCACTCCTTCATTCACAGCTCCTCTCAAATATTACCCCTGGGTGTCTCCTAACCTCCTTTACCTAAAATCACCTTTCTTCACACATTATATTTCTGACAGCAAGTATTAATTTTTGAAATTATATTATTTATTTAATGTCTATTTCCCATTACAACGCAAGTTTGACCACAGACTTTTTTTTCTGGTTTTCTTCTGATCCCCAGGATTAAGTACATAGTCACTGCTCTAAATATATTTGTAGTCTAAATTAAATAATTTTACATATTTAAAACTTCATATACTTATTAATATATAGATATAGATATTCACAAGGCACTTCTGCAACTGCAGCCTTTCACCACAGCTTCAGCTTGGCCTGAGCCAGATTCAGGCAGCCTGCTGCACCTCCACTTTGTCCTTGAGAAGCAGCGATGACTGGAAAAACAGTGTGAAAAATCAGACCATTTTATAGACTTATGCATCCCTCTTTTTAGTTTTTTTATATACAACTCCATAACAATATCCTATTGCACTAAAAATTAAATCATTTTCTTATTTAAAAAGAAATATTTTTACTAGTGCAAAGAAGAATAAGTTATGATATTCTAGCACTTATAATAACAAATGCCAAACCTTGGTGTATGCATGTGATTATACTTGGTGAAAAAAACAGGACTGTAGACGTGTACTGATAGCATAGGATTTATGGTCATTTCCAGGAGGACAAATGGATCAGAGAGTGGGAATGGGAACAATCAATGCAGTTGTGAATACACAGACTTGGTGGGGATAAACTTAAAGCCTTCAGCTGGTGGAACTAGGTGAGGCTCAAGTTAAAGCCCAGCTTTGTTAAGTCTGCTCTGTACAATTACGCCCGTTTCTCACTAAATCATGTAACTAACTCAATTCCACTTTCCTACATCCTAAGGGACACTTTCACAGTGATACATTTCTTAACCTTCTATTACAGTGATGTCCCTTTTTCAGAATCCCCATAATATTTTGTTTGCACTTCTTTTATGACATTTATCACATGTAAATATTTTTATAGTTACATATATCCACCTCTGGCCCAACTTTTTGTAAATTATTTGATGGCCAGAATAGTGTCTTATTTTTCTCCCAATTGTAGAGTAGGAACAGCCGTTTTCATTGTAAGTGCTCAAAAAACACCTGCCAAATGAATGAATCATTCCAGAGGTATGACTTTTCTATAAAAATTAATAAACATGGATTGCCTGTCTTAGAAACAAACCTAGAGTCAAAGACAGAGATGTCAGTTTTACAGAGGCAAAGATTTCAACAATATCTCCCCTTTAAGAAGCAGAGAAAGTGGTACTCCATTAGGCAGGATATATCTCACCTAGTAGGGTGTACAGCCTTGACTCTGAGAGTCACCCCTGAGTTTTGGAGGTCTTCAATGTCCACAACAAGTTAGTCAATATTTCGAGGCACTTGTATTCAAGAATGAAGGCAGTGATTCATGCCTTATCTCTAGCATTACTGGCTATTTAAGTCAAATTAGATTTCTTATTCTCTTTGAGTCTTAGTTTCCTCATCTATAAAATGAGGATAGTATCCTTAAATCACAGGAGTTGTGCAAGAAATAAATACGAAAATAGCTGTGAATTTATTTTATAAAAATAACTTTGTAAGCTATGAAGGATACTGCACATATGTGAAGGATTACCAGTACAGGGGATAGCTATTATTCTTTAGCCCTGCACAACTTCCTTCCTCTTCAATCTAGTAAATAAATCTCTCAATTCAACACCCAATGTTGCCTCTGACCTGCCACGATAGTATAACTTACCATTCCTCCTGAGCTATTTTTTCCCAGGGGAGGTACTTGACTCATAATATGCCAATGTTCTTCTCTAGGATTTTGGAACAAAAAAGTGTATTCTGCTCTGACTAGCTGAAACAAAGGTCATTCAAATTTTCACCCTTATGACATTTGGTTTCTCCATGTGGACTGAGGAGCAGGGAAAAGCGATCTGATGGCAAGAGAGAAAAATGAAGTGGATGAAAGGAGAGTAAGGAGCTATGAACAACCTACTTACAGATGGAAATAGAACATCCTCAGCCACCCACCTTATTTGGGGCCCTTGTTCCCAGAAGCCCTGGTATCCTGCTGTCAAACTTTTCATTTGTTTGCCTATTTATCATAATCTACTTATGGACTCCATGGGAATTCTAACAAACAACTGTTATTTGTATTAGATTTTCTATCCAGGAAAATGTACAAACAATCCAAACTTAGGGGTTACCAGGAGGGGCTCTCTGACCTTATCCTAGCTGCTGGTTTCTACATTCAGAGGCCACAAAATGAAACAAGTACCCAGAACAACAACAACAACAAAAGATAAAGACTAGAATATGATTCACACCAGGGTATGTGGGTGCACTGTCTTTAAATAACTACTTTTTCTTCAGTGAGTAGATGTCAGGTGGCGAACACTTGTGAGTAAACGTAAGTGTTATCAGAGCATATACATAGTTTGATACAGATAAACAAGGACCAAAAAAATCTCCCCACTTTGGAGATTTCCAGGAAGACTTCTTGGAGGAAGTAATATTTGAGCTATGTCTTGAAAAATGAACAACAGTAAATTAGGTTAAATAGAGCTTATATCAAAGAAGAGTTCGTTCAAGGCATCAGAACAACATGGCCAGAGAGTTGAAACCACATGGAATGTGCAGGCAACTATGCTGGCTTCATATTGTCAGGGTGCAGTGGGAAAAGAAGGGGCACGCCTGTGTGCCTGAAGATACAGGACCCCCTGAATGGCTAAAAATGCGATAAAGTTTATGTGACTTCATTTTTAATGACATCATCTTTCATCTTGGGATGTGTGTAGAGGAACAGAGTCAGGAACTTGATAAAAGGAGGGGGAGGCTGGGTGCGTTGGCTCATGCCTATAATCCCAGCACTTTGGAAGGCCAAAGTGGGTGGATCACTTGAGGTCAGAAGCTCGAGACCAACCTGACCAACATGGAGAAACTCCATCTCTACTAAAAATACAAAATTCGCCAGGGGTGGTGATGCATGCCTGTAATCCCAGCTAGTAGGGAGGCTGAGGCAGGAGAATCGCTTGAACCCAGGAGGCAGAGGTTGCCGTCAGCCGAGATCGTGCCACTTCGTTCCAGCCTGGGCAGCAAGAGTGAAACTCCATCTCCAAAAAAAAAAAAAAAAAAGGAGGTGGGAGGAAAGACCCTGAAGAACAGAGAGCCAGAGATGACTGTTTAGACTTGGGACTATGTCAAAAAGTACTTGAAAATTACTGTGAAATCCTGAATTAAGAGATTATTAGTTACAATTGAATAGATCCAAAAGAATGTACAAAGTTCCAATATATGAGACTTGTTAGATTTCATTTTGGGGCTAAGCAAGATGAAAAATTTAAGGATGACTACCATCTTCCTGGCGGGGAAACCGGGTGAAAAATTATGAAATTCAGTGATACAGGGAACATAAAAAGACAACACATTTGGGGTACAGGATAAGTTGAGTTTAAAATATGTAATTTCAAAGTTCCTGTGATATATTTAATTACAGATTTTACCAGCAATTTGTACATACACATATGAAGCTCAGAAGACAAGTTATGGCTATAAAGATATAAGTGTCATTAACCATGTAGGTAGCAGTTAAAATCACAGGAGTGGATTAGATCCCTGGGAAGTGCAGAGTGAATGGATTTATGCGTCAAGGATTATGCCCTTGGGATACTAGCACTTAAGGCATGAACAGAAAAATAGGTGCCAATGAAAAAGGGAGTGATCAAGAGTATTACACTTATCAGAGCTCAGTTGAATAAAATGTTCTTTGCATTTACCAATTGGAAAGTCACTGAGATCTTAGCCAAAAGGCAGCAGCAGTGGAGTGGTGGAGAAAGAAGCCAGTTGCTTTGGGTTGCAAAGTGAAGGTAAGGTGAACAAATTAATCCAGCAAATGAAATATACTATTTTTAGAAGATTGGCTATAAACGGCACACAAGAAATCTTAATAACAGGCTTTGAGAGGAAGAGGGTATAGTGAAAACAGCCTCCTGGGCAGCAGTGGTAGCTGCTGTTGGTGACTGCCAGTGCCCAGGGCTGGGAGTACAGATGGTGTCAGCTGTAGGGCTTAGTGCTTAGTGCCCAGGGTCCTCGCTGGTGGTGGTGTCCTCACTATAGCAAGTCTGCAGGTGACTTCAGCATGTCCCTAACTCTGGCTCTCCACCCATCTGTCTTTTGTGCTCACATCATCCAGAGTTAATTTATTGTATCTGCAAATAGATACATTACCTACTAGTTGGTCTCAGAGTCTAGACCAGGGAAAGTTTAATAACTACTTTAGGTTTCAGAAACTCCAGATTCAAACTCTGAGATCTAAGTAATTCAAAAAAAAAAAAAAGTGCTGTCACCAGTCTGGGTTGCTTTCTTTTGTTTATTTCACTGGCTTTTTCAATTACCCAACTAATGAGCCAACCAACAAATGCAGCTGTCAATTATCTACTGACCCTTCTCTTGGTCAGTGCTGTGAGAAATGTGGGGGAATAACAGATTAAAGTTTCCATTATCCTGGAGTTCACAGTACAGCTAGGTACACTGTTCAATTCATGAGAATAAATTATCCACTCCAGTGTGTATTCTTGACATAAGCCCTCCTGAGGCAGGAAGTGTCTGTCTCCTATGCCCCCTCAGTTTCCTAACACAAATCAAAGCAGCTGCTCCTTAACCCTCTATACCATGCAACCCAGGGATGGAATAGCAACTAAAGACTCAAAGAAACTAGCTGGGGCTGTCGTATTTGTTATTACAGAGTCTCTAGAAGCCACATGAGTAGCTTAGGAAAATCTCCTTAAATTCCTAGAACTAACTTTTCAATGAACTAAAGCATGTCAATATAATACTTGGTAACTTCCAGTGAACTCAGTTCTATTTCTACCACACCTTAATGAGTAATGCTTAAAACTACTGATTACATACTCCCTACAATGATACGCTCACATTCTTATTTGATAAAAGTAGATTGGGCCAGGCACAGTGATTCATGCCTGTAATCCCAGCACTTTGGGAGGCCGAGGTGGGTGGATCACCCGAGGTCAGGAGTTCGAAACCAGTCTGGCCAACGTGACGAAACCCCATCTCTACGAAAAACACAAAAATTAGCCAGGCGTGGTGGCAGGCACATGTAATCCCAGCTACTCGGGAGGCTGAGGCAGGAGAATTGCTTGAACCCAGGAGTCAGAGGTTGTAGTGAGCCGAGATTGTGCCACTGCACTCCAGCCTGGGAGATAGAATGAAACTCCACCTCAAAAAAAAAAAAAAAAAAAAAAAAAAAAAAAAAAGATTGGACAATGTTGTGGTAACAGATGATTTCTAAAATCTTAATTACTTAACAAAACAAGGTTTCTCTTTCTTGAAAAAAATCTGCTACAATCTAGTAGGACTTTTCTCCATCCAGTGGTCCAAGGTACCCCATTTTTGACTTTTCCATCTCAACGCATTACTTTTGAGGTTGCCACAGGCAGAGGAGAGAAAATTGAAGGCTCATGTGTGGTCTCCTAAATGCCTTGGCTCATAAGTGACACATGTAACTTCTACTCATGTTTTATTGGATGAAACTCTTTGTCCCTGACAACAGAAAAGGGGTCTGAAAACTCTGAGGGACATTTGAAATATCTGATTATCAATGGTGTCTCTTTCACAGCCTTTTTTGGGGGAGACTAAGACTTAACATTTTTAGAAAATGTGAAAAATATTCAATTGCTCTTACATCTAACTCTTTGTCTAATCTTTTATAAGCACAATGAACTTGTCTCTGTATTGGTTGGTAAAGATAAAAAGAATAATTATGGTTTTTCTCTCCTAAGGTATTTAATGCCTGACAGAGGATATAAATCACATAGACATAAGGAACTTATTTTATTTGTTTGTTTGTTTTAGAATCTAGGGATTAGAAGTACAATAGCTTCTTGATAAATGTTTAATTATATGTCCGTCTGATTTTTGGTTAAATATTTTCTTATCCATGAAAGATCCCTGATCACCCTCTTTACTATTGCACAATACTCAAATATTTCTTTGTTCCAATTTTTTTTCTCCAAAGCACTCATTACTATATAGGCTACTTTTTTGTCTATTGTCTAATTCCACACAATACATTATGTGCTTAAAGAAGGCAGAAACATTTTTACTTTAAATTCACTGCTGTTTCATAATCTTTATGATAATATCTGGAGTAGGCTTGATAAATACTTAATGAATTACATAAATAAAGAAAATTTTCAAAACATAAATGATGTGGAAGCGATGACCTGTGATTTTAGGAGAGAGCATTACTTTCAAAGGCATGGAGGGTGAGAGAAAGTACAACGGGGAAACTGAGTGTTAGACCTGCTGATGTGCATGGAGGTTTTCCAGGAAGAGCATAAGAGTACATCACAGCCTGGTGTTGGTGTCAAGATTAGTGAGCAAGTGGTTGGCTGAGAGCTGAGTGGACAAATCTGGGCATAGGAAAATTTTTCTGTACTGTCCATGACTGTATAATTTGCTTACACACTCTAGACTGTGACATTAAGTTATTGCCTCAGTCAGTCAGAAAAGTTCAAGAGACTCTTCAGGATCCCAGGACAGTGGGAATACTGGAATGATGTGCAGCCTTCTGTGCTGCAGAGGGCAAAAGCTGCAGGAGCTCCTCAGAGGGGAAGTAAGTTCAGGACTAGGAGGCAGGGCACAAAGGTGGTTCTCGATATTGTAGTTTCTTCTCTCTCTCTCTCTTTCTTCTTTCTTTACTTTCTCTCTCTCTCTCTCTTTTTGAGAGACACCTCAGTTGAGCTGGTGAAGTAGAACAAGAACATACCAATAGGTTGGCTAGAAATAATTAAAATCTAAATATCCTTTTAGGGCCAGTACAAATGTCATCTCCTTTCCTGGCCATTTCACTCTCTGTCTCTGAGGCACATGTAGAATCCTCTACGTGCTTTTACTTGGGGTATAGGTGAATTTGCCAAAAGTTAACTAACTGAATGCCAATGTAAATAATTTGTTTAAAATATAAATATACACCTACCAAGCGTAATGGTTAGCAGGAATGCATAGCAGTGCTAATAGTTGTTAACAAATTATCCTTTTTGTGACCCAGTTCCAAGAACACAGCGGTCACTCAACAACTGCTCGTTGGCTGAAATTTTAAGTTAAAATATGTAGGCAAAAATATCACCATTATAGTCTCCCTTGAAAGTAGCCTTTCTAAATCAGAAGACTGAACAGCAGTGTTCCATAATATGGTAGTGTACATTGAAAAGCACCAAGTGGCATTGTTCATTTTTTTGTTTCTGATTTATTGTTCATAGACAGTAGATATGTCTTAGCTGGTTTTATTTTTACACTAGAATTCCACACCCTTTGTGCAAGATGTAGAAGTTAATTGTCAGTTAACTCACTTTGATGACAACTTTGGTGTGCTTGAGGGACATATTTTCATAAATTGCCACATTTTTTGATAGATTTCACCACAACTGGTTTACTTATAGATTGTTATTACACTCCAGCAGGATTCACTGCCTCTGCCCTGCATAGATGATGGGGTAGAAACTCATGCTCTCACACTACTTAATAACAACGATAATGACAGTGTATATGCAGTGTATGTTTTCACAGCAAAGAAGGAAGAAACCCAAGAGAGCCCACACTGCCGTCAGAGCATTTACTATGAAACTAGAACAAAGTACTATAATTTCAAAGATGCTGTTAAAGGTATCTTGCCTTACTGAGAAGCACTAAAGAACACATCCATTAGAGATGAACTTTTGTTAGATCTACTGGAGACTTCTCTCTAACAGAGGTCAGTAATGTTTCCAGGCTGCTTTCTGCCTGAAAGCCCTTACAACATGTTTGCCAAATCCCAGGGAACTGCATTCCCAGTGGTTCCATGGAGCCCAATTCTGAGAGCATGCAACTACTTTCATTTTCAATTCCCAAGCTGACTGGAGGCTTTGAAGAGCTGCTATCCTTTTCATGGCCTCTGTCCTGTAATCTTTAAAAATTAAAGATATTGGCCAGGTGCAGTGGCTCAAGCCTGTAATCCCAGCACTTTGGGAGGCCAAGGCAGGTGGATCACGAGGTCAGGAGATTGAGACCATCCTGGCTAACAAGGTGAAACCCCATCTCTACTAAGTACAAAAACAAAATTAGCGGGGCATGGTGGTGTGTGCCTGTAGTCCCAGCTACTGGGGAGGCTGAAGTGGGATAATGGTGTGAACCTGGGAGGCAGATCTTGCAGTGAGCTGAGATCGCACCACTGCACTCCAGCCTGGGTGACAGAGCGAGACTCCGTCTCAAAAGAAAGAAAGAAAGACAGAGAGAGAGAGAGAGAGAGAGAAAGAGAGAGAGAGAGAGATGATATGTGAAATTTCCCAGCTAAATTCCTCTTGGGTAATTATAAAGCTCCAAGTAGTGTTTGTGATGGGGAGAAAAGTGTAAGATAAGTATGATGTTTCAAGGTGTTTATGGTAAACTATGGCAGAATTTGCCCTTGTTCAGGAATGTGTGTAGCCCTGACCACACAGAGCTTCCTAACCACAAGAGGAAGTGGGAGAATTGCCAAAATGGCTCCTCGCTCCAGGCCCTCAAGTGTGGGAGAAAATCCTGGAAAGGTGATGTTTCCATGTACAGAAGTTCCTTATTCAAGTATTATTATCAAGGAATGAACTCTCATGAAAATTAATAGCATTTTCACTATTAATGGTTGTTCTATAATGCTTAAATAAAGAACAATTTTTTTGGTTGAAAATTTTAACTAAAAGATGAATCACCCATCTACCTGCCTTCTTAAGAAAAGACAAAGAACTGGGATTAATTTTTCTCAGTAACTGGGGATCATGATTGCAAACACCAACAGCGTGTCCTGGTGGTGATCCTGCTGGGTTACCAGTCAGCTTGCTCCTGAACCAGGCATTCCCATTCTGGGATCCATTAAGGCAGAATTCTTTATTTCATCCCACACCCATTTGTTCACAGGTTCTATTGAATCCGTGTGTAATTATGTGCATGTGCAAGAGGAAGGAGTCCACATTTTCCTCAAACTCTTCCAGAGGTCCATATCCAAGTTGTCAGGAAACGCTGAACTATGCCAAGTGGCCCAGGAGCTTACGTGACTGAAAACACGTGTTACACACATTCCCTCACCTTCATCACCCAGCACAGTTCAAGTCACAAAATTCATGGAAAATTGACCGTTTTAAAAACATATTGACTTGAACTACAGGAGCAATTATCATTCGTGCTGACTTACAGATGCTTTCTGTTCAATAGGATAACTGAAATGCATAGTGGTTAATTGATGAGTTAAAATTCACATGTTAACTTTCCATGATCTTGTTTCTCTTTTCTAACCCCCTGGAATCTCCTTTGCATCAAATTTTCTGCCTTGGGCATCATTAGCCACCTTGAAGCTTGCCTTATAATCCATCCTTTCGTATAAACTAAACTGTATATATAAACTTCCTTGGGCAGAGGCACAGTGTAATATCTGGACTTGACATTTGAAGCTTCAATTTTTAAATTCAATTACATTGTAACTGGAAAGAATAACAGCAATTAGCAATGTAAATGTAAAAGTAATTAATAACCATAAGCATGTGTCAGCCCCATGAAAGGCCAGCCCCCACCCCTAATCACTTTGACCACCCGCCAGACCCTCAATCTTGGTTATTTCATTCCTCTAAATTCTAAAACTGCAAACACGGCACTTACTTACAGTATGATTTATTACTCCAAACCCAAGCTCCACGGAGCCCCTCTGGTTCATTATTAATAAGGTACCTGTGAGGTCACCATCAAATCACAATAAGATACAAGGCTCCAGAGTGCTAGCAAGAAAAAAAAAATCTTGGCCATAGACAAAAAAAAAAAAAAAAAAAAAAAAAAAAAAAAGAAAAGAGAGAAGAGAGACAAATTCTCTTTCAATTTTTAAGCCCAGTATATTTGGTAAAAATGTATTTTAAAAAGCACATTAGGTTTATGTATTGGCAGCTTTTAAAGTAGTTTTTAAAATTCCAATGAAAAATTATGTTATAGTGCATAAAAAATTTCTTTCAATAAGAAGCTGCCTGTTTTCCTATAGAATTCCAGAGTTTATGCTTGTTACTAGGAGAAATTCATGCGGTTTCCAAGTAATGGAATCCTTCTCTTTCGTACTGGGAGATGTCAAACAAAGTTGAAGATTGGAAAGGTAAAAACCCATACAACTGGGAAGATCCCAGTTACATCCATGTCTTAAACAAAGGGCTAGTCTTAAGAGGGACAACTTAAGTCTTAAAGAAATACAACTGACTTTCAAGAAATATGTCTCATTGAAAATTATTCTGAGTTTACTTAATAGATAATATGGGCCCTGTATTGTGATATTAATGAGGAAAAAATGTTTTATCCATAAATCTTATTGTCCATAAACTTACAGTCCATATGGAAAAATTAAACAACAGGAAAATTTAGGTAACAGTGAATCACTGGGCTGCATCTCATGTTAAATGTCTCAGGAGGACAGAGGTGCCCAGGGCAGGTTTACTGGAAGAGATGAGGCTTCAATTCCACCTGGAGGTTAGGCATCAGGGGTTAAGGGAGGTAAGTGGTCCAGTCAAATGCGCAGAGGGCAGGAAGGGCAATGAAAACCTTGAGGAAGGCGAAGCAGACATAAAAGTAGATGCCACCAGTTCAAAGGTCACGTTTGTGAGTTATTTCAAATAAGAAACCATGAGTAATGCATGTGTCTGTGACAGTCTGCTCAATAACTGGTGCAAAGTAGAAGCTAAAGTATACATGGTAAGTTGACGAATTGATGAATGAACAAAAAGAAAGCTGAATTTATTTCATTTTGATGTATGCACCACTTCATCCTTTCCTTAAATGTCCACTGATACACGAATATAAGATCAGGATCCTAAGACTGATATCAAGAATCATTTCCTGGGGTCCAACAGATCTGAGACCAAACTGCAGTTTGTTTGTTTGCTAGCTGGCTAACCTTGGGTAGTTTTTTTTATAACATTCTAAGCCTTATTCTTTCTCATCTGCAAAATAGAAGTAATACTATTATTTTGACCATCTTATGAAGAGTGAATAAGAAAGCATTGGTACTTACTCTAGTGCTTGAGACATTATAATTTGATATTAAACTTAGACATAGTAGGAAAGATAATTCTGCTAGGAAAAAAATTTATGTTTACAAGTGAGTTTTGTTGATCAATGTAACTTATTTTGAATTATGTAGATGTTTATTTCAGGAGTAATTACTGGAGGATTATAATGGGCATACAGAAAGGCAGTGTCTGAATTCTCTCTAAGCTCCTGAGAGACTATTGCTTGTGTTAGGGTTTTAGTCATCATGTTTGAATACACAGAGCAGAGAGAGAGGCCACCTAAGTACCCTTTCTTGAATATTCTCCTTTCCTCCTACACTTCTTTTTAGCAAACTTGGAACGTGATGCCTGGTCCTGAAATCGTCAGCTTTATCACTGGAGCTGGTGTGCAGTGTGAAAACTATTTGAGTCACAGTCAGACATCTACTTGTATTAGGGAAACAAGGTTTTGCTTAACAGTTTGGAATGTTTAGCTTAATGTAAACTAGGAATGGTGTAGATTCACTGGTAAGCATATGGACTATCAGAGTTCCTCAAAAAAATTACCTTATACTGCAGTCGAGGGTGCATGAATACCCATTCTTCACTGGTTTGTTACCTTTTGAAGGTAAGATCTTCTCACCAACTTATCTAAGTGACATTATATCACAGGAGTAATGGCTTAGATTAAGCAAGCACACTCTTCCTTCTTTCCTCCTTCCTTCCCTCTCTTCCTTCCTTCCTTCTTTCTTCCCTCTATCAACGTTTACTGATTTCATACACTGCCATATCACTGTTTGGTTGAATTGATTGAATGTGTTTAATTATCATTCTGTTATGACATTATTTCTGGATACACTTGCTACTGACAATTCTAGGGATATTTTAAGTGTTTGAAGCAACAGCAGGAATCCAGTTTTAGGGTCTTGATGACTACATAAAGATATATAGCTTCATGATGAGGATGTTGGAGGAAAGAGGTAGATGAAAAAGCAAATATTCCTGAAGGTCATTTTATGTAGATTAGCACAAGTCCTCTGTCAAGAGAGGAGCACCAAAGAAGAAGCAGAGAAAGAGAAGAGCTTTCTAAAAGATAGGGATGTTCCTTTGTCTCTTCATGTCCATTGTTTCCCCTCAATATATGCAGACCAGTCCTAGGGCAGAGCTTCTTGGGTATTGCATTAGTCAGGGTCTCCAGAGAAACATAACCAACAGGATTTATGTATAGGCACATAGAAAGGACAGACTCAATGGGTTGTGTGCATGTGCATATATGTGTGTACACATACATACATACACACTACACACAAGTACACACAAATACATATATAAGGGGACTTCAAAAAGTTCATGGAATACAGAATTACAATATAAAAATTAAAAAGATAAACTTTATTTCTCAACATAAGCTCTGTCAAGTTCAAGACAGTTTTGTAAGCAATGATACCAGATATTTAATCCATCCCTAAAGAAGTGAGGGTCCTGGGAATTTAACCTTGTCAATGCATTCTTTTCTATACTATTAACTGACAAAAAGTGGGTGCCCTTTAAGAATTTTTAACACCGAGATACAAAAAGAAGTGAGAAGGAGCCACATCAGGAATGTAGGGTGGATGTCTAGTGATTTTCCATCACAACTCTCAGAAAATTGCCCTTGATTGATGAGAGGAGTGAGCAGGCTCACTATTGTGGTGGAGAAGGACTCGCTGGTGACGCCTTTCTGGGCATTTTTCTGCTATAGCCTTGGTTAACTTTCTAAAAACAATCTCATAATTAGCAAATGTTATTGTTCTTTGGCCTTCCAGGAAATCAATAAACAAAAGGCCTTGAGGATCCCAAAATACTATTGCCATGACCTTTGTTCTTGACTGGTCCTCTTTTTCTTTGACTGGACCACTTCCACCTCTTGGTACCCATTGTACTTTGTCTTCAAGATCATACTGGGAAAGCCATGCTTTGCTTCCTGTTACAGTTCTTCAAAGAAATGCTTCAGGATCTTGATCCCACTTACTTAACATATTCATTAAAAGCTCTGCTCTCGTCTGTAGCTCATCTGGGTGTAATGGTTTTGGCACCCATTGAGTAGAAAGTTTGCTCAACTTGAATTTCTCAGTCAGAATTTTGTGAGTTTAACCAATTGAGATGTTGTGGTGCTGGCTATCGTTTCTGCTTCTATTCATCAGTCTTCTTCAATTAGGGCGCACACAAGATGAATGTTTTCCTCACAAATTGATGTAGATGGTCTGTCATCACAGACTTCATCTTTAACATCACTGTATCCATTCTTAAAATGAATCGCCCATTTGTAAACTGCTGATTTATTTGAGACACTGTCCCCATAAACTGTTTATAAAGCATCAAAGATTTCACCATTCTTCTGCTGCCGGGATAAGTCCCACCCACCTCAGGGAGGGCAATCTACTTTCCTTAGTCTACCAATTAATATGTTAATCTCACCCAGGAACATCTCGTAGACACATGCAGAATAAAGACTGACTAATGTCTGGGCACTCCTGCTCAGTCAAGTTGATTTGACACATAAAAGTAACCATCACAGGTATAATGAGGCATGGACACCACATGATCAGTAGTGGGTGACATAGTGTCCTAAAAGCAAATGAATACTAAATTATACTTCTTCATAGTATATTTTGTGCTAATACCTTCAGAAGTGTTTTCCTTGGCTCAACATGTTGTAAAATACTTCTTCTTTACCATTCACTTTTTATTTCCACCTATGCCTTTGTAAACAGGGCCTGGATATAGAGCACTGGCATGAAACATTCAATTTTCTCATCTTGTGTCTTATTAATCTTTTGTTGACCACTCAGTACCTATTGTGAGTCTCAGGTGGAGATGACAAAACCTGACTTAGCAGCAGCTCATTAAAGGCCAAAGAGAAATGTCTATAAAGCGTTATTTAAATTTTATTTAGTTTGGGGGTTGTCATCTGTCAGCCTCCACTTATTACCTCTGCTTAGAGGTTTTCCTTCCCCTGCCACATGGATCTGGAGCCAGTGAGGTGATGAGAGAAGGCTATCAATATGTGTCTGAGCATATTGTTATCATCCTGATTTCTTTGCCAAAGCGCTTTCATTCACTATTAGCAAAGTAAGAGAGGAAGGAATAGCTTCCTGAAGCCACTTGATTTTTTTTTCCTCCAGAAACACAGGAGACTAACACAGATGGTAGGAAGACAAAATGTGGTTGAACAAGCTAGAGATTTGGTCTTCATGTTGCTGCATAATTGATTTGACTAATTTCTGAACCTGCCAAATTAGCCAGGAGAGTGCTGCAGATGCTGCATTCTTCCAGTGAGGAGTCCTTTTTTCTTTAAAATATGATTGTTTTAAAAAGATACTCTTTTGCTTCATCTATCAGTAACCGTTGCTCAACACTGTGATGCAATGTTAGGACAGCATGGGTACTGTCCTCCCACTAATCATGGGGCACAAATGAGAAATCAAATGTCCATGCCACAAACTGGGTGGAAGGGTTCCCGTACGTGAAAGAGCTTTCATCTCAACTTAGCTTAATGGAATACGATACGGTTTCAATATTGTAAAACCTACATTGACAAATTGATGAGAAAACAAAACAAAATCCTTTGAAGTGCACAGAATCTGGATGATCTTAGAGAACAGTTTTCTTCAATGTTTCAAAGTCACAGGGTGATCATTTTTCTGCAAAAACCTTGGCTGTGCAAGTGAGCTGTGCTGAAGTCTGCAGAGCGTACCTACTAAGATGAAAAGACTAGAGGTACAGAGGTGTGAAACGTCTGCTCAGGTAGAATGCAATGAAAAAAATATTTTAACTACTCCCTCCTCATTGTAGCTCCTTTTGAAAAATCAGTTTCTTTAAAAAAAAAAATTCTGTATTGTCTATTTTCATGCAAATCATGGTCACCATACTCTCCCAAATGTAAGACCCACAAGTTCAAGAATGTTGCCTCTTACTCACATTTATAGTTTCCGAATCAAGAATGGTTTATGGGGCAAAGTAGGCTCTCAGGAAATATATTTGAACTATTTGAACAAAATCATACAAAAATTGGAAAAATATTTATTAGTGCTTGAAAGTATGGAAAAACAAAGCGCAAGCCAGTTCCGCTTGAGAAAGAAAAGAATCAATTGACTCAAGACTACCCACAAGTGGCAGGGTGCCGTGACTCATGCCTATAATCCTAGCACTTTGGGAGGCCAAGGTGGGTGGATCACTTGAGGCCATGAATTTGAGACCAGTCTGGCCAACATAGTGAAACCCCATCTCCACTAAAAATACAAAAATTAGCCAGGTGTGGTGGCACACACCTGTAGTCCCAGCCACTTGGGAGGCTGAGGCAGGAGAATCACCTGAACCGGAGAGGTAGAGGATGCAGTGAGCCAAGATCACACTACTGCTCTACTGCACTCCAGCACAGGCAACAGAGTGAGGCTGTGTCTCCAAAAAAAAAAAAAAAAAAAAAAAAGCAAACAAAACAAAACAAAAAGTATCCACAAGCAAAGAAAGAGTTGTCCCTAGGGACATATGAATAGGAGGATCACTTAATATTATCCTATTTGCACTCTCAAGGTTGGAAGTCAAGATGTAGCCATGACACATTGATGGACGAATGTTTAACTGATGACTTATGGAAATTACTCAGATGGATATAAATAAAACAGCAGGCAAGGGTGCTCATTTACAGGTGTCTTTTAGCATGCATGAGGTGAATTGAAGTGTAATCCATTTCTACGGCAGTATTCAACAATATCAGGAGCACAAAAAAAAAAGGGAAGAAAGTCTCTTTAGTAGCTCACAGCTTCTTCACTACGTAAAGCTGGAATGTATAAAGCCAAAATCTAGCAGAGCAACGTAATCCTGGTGATCCTAGTGTTAATTTTAGGAGGTGGTCTCAAATAATATAATCTAAGGTGAATCAAATGGAGAGGATAAATTGAAGCTATTGGGGAGAGCATGAGTGAGTGAAGGAAATAAATTTATGAGAAAGTATGGGAATACAAGGTCAAGGGCATAAGTAGCTAGGATTTTCTCATAACGGGCATAAAAACATGAAAGATATAAGGACTGGTAAATGCATCTTGTCTCTAAACCCTGGGAAAAGGAGGTAAAGGTAGTTATAAATATACAATTTTATCTTGGTGGGAGAGAGGAACTGATAAAGCTTGAATATCTGTCCCCTCCAAATCTCATGTTGAAATTTGATCCCCAATGCTGGAGGTGGGGCCTGGTGGGAGGCATTTAGGTCATGGCTTCAGATCCCTCATGAATGGCTTGGTGCTCTCCCCACAGTAATGAGTGAGTTCTCTCCATATTAGTGCATGTGAGAGCTGGTTGTTTTCAAGAGCTTGGCACTCACTCACTCTCTCTCTCTCTCTCTCTCTCTCTCTCTCTCTCTCTCTCTCTCTCTCCCTCTCCCTCTCTCCCTTTCCCCCTCCCCCTTCCCTTTCCCCTCTCTATCCCCTCTCCCTCCCTCTCTTACTCCCTCTCTTGCCCTGTGATATGCCAGCTCCCCGTGCCCTCTGCCATCCGTGGAAGCTTCCTGAAACCTTCACCAGAAGCAGAGGCTGGTGCTGTGCTTCTTGTACAGCCTCTAGAACCCCGAGCCAAATCAACCTCTTTTCTTTACAAAATGCCGAGCCTCAAGTGTTCTTTTATAGCAATGCAGATGGACTAAGACAGAAAGTGGTTAGAGGGAATATTCATGAAACCTCCAATCTTCTTCAAGAAATAACAGGCAAATTTCTCCACTGAGAATAAAAGGATGTGTTTAAGTAAGAAATTTAAAAGAATATCTAAATTTTGAAATAATAACTCAGAAGAATCAGAGTCATTCTACCAGGTAGTAAAACAAACAAAATTATTGCTGGGTGATGCTGAGGCTCTTCTAAGGGCAGGTGGACATGGATTCACACTGTCATCCACACATGTGATGGTGTTTTCTTCAAAAGTTCTCAGTCAGCCAGGCATGCAAATTAGAGTCCAGATTGTGGCATCCACCTGGGACGGGTCTATTGTGAGAAAGAGGTGGCAGATAGCAAGTTAACTGACAGTTCTGGTGAGAGAGGGGTTCAGATGAATTCCTTCATGCAGTTGACGGCACAACTATTCCCCTGGACCTCATCACTTCAAAACTGTCATAAGTAGTGCAGAGTGACCTACCCAAAACAGAATCACCCCTTGAATTCTCTTGGAACCTCAGTAACAACACAAGCACTCTTCTACGGACACTATGAGCTACATCCCTTCATGATATGGTCCCTGCCTGCCTCCTCAGCCTTACATCCAAATATATGCCCCTTTGCAACATCTTGCTCAAACGCTCCCTGGGTCCCTTTTCAAATGGGAACAATTTCTACATTACAAATGATGATAGAGTGGCACCTACATGTGACTGCTAGAGTGTTTCAATCCTCTGTGGTTTTGCACAACCTGTTTCCTTTTCCCAGAAGTCATCATCTGTCACTCCCACTGTCATGCTTTCACTTCACAGTGTCAATGAGTTTTGACATATGCAATGTAAATCACTCTTCCCTTCATACAAATTGTATACCCAGTCCATATTTTCCAAACTTACTTTATTGTAATTATGTGTTTACATAATGTTTCTACTAGATTGTGATCATATTAATAACAATGACTTTGGCTCATTTACTTTTTATGCTCAGGACCCAAGTATTATGTGAAACATAGGAGTTACCCAATAAATATGCATTGGATGCAAGGCAGGTGGCTGTGGAGATGAGCATTGGGGGTGACATGGCCTTGAGCTGGGAAGGGGCACCAAGAGGGCAATTTTGAGAGAAGGAGAAAGATACAAAGAAGAGGCTGTTGAGTTTGGACGATAATGACAGACTTGCCTTTATTGACCCTTTCCAAGAACAAGACATAATATGGATGAGTATATCAGAACTAGACTGTCGAAAACTTTAAAACTAGATAATGGAGATTAGCTGCAATGTTGTTGAAAATTAGAATCCCAATGACTAAAAGGACTTTATTCTCTTTTCTGGAAAACATTGCGTGAGGAGGTGAAATTACTCAACATCACATTGTTCTAAGATATTTACTAGTCCACCCTTTACTACAGCCATAGGTTAACTTATTTCTTTATTCACATAACTGCAGTCTTAAGACATTTTAGAAAAAACTGTTCTAAAATGAAAACTATTCTAAAAAAAGCTATTCTAAAATGAAAGATGCCATACTTTAACAAAATGAAATTACAAATAACAGAAGCCAGACACAAATTAGTATAGTTTCATACGATTCCATTTATTCAAAGTACAGAAACATGACAACACACTCATCTCTGCTGTTAGAAGTCAGGATAGCATTACGGTAGGGTCAGGTGGGGAACTGAATGGACCAGGAGAGGAGCTTCTGGGGTGCTGAAATATTTCCTTTTATCTGTGATTTGAGTGCTAGCTACACAGAGGTGCTCAGATAGTAAAAGTTCATTAAGCTGTACATTTTTCTGAATATATGTTACTTTAATTTTAAAATTATAAACGTGAGACTGAGTGAAAACATTTGAAAATAGTATATAATACACAACGTTACCATGTTTAATGTAAGAATATCTCCAACAAATTCATTCAAAAAAGATAACTCAGGAGAAAAATGAACAAAGAACATGAACAGACAACACATAGAGGCATACAAATGCCGAATAAACATGTTTTTTAAATATTTTTAAGACATGTTGGTCTGGAAACTGCAAATTCAAATAAAAACTAGCCACCGTTTTTCATCTAACAGACTAGCAAACATTAAGAAATGGATAATACCATAATGAGCAGCCTTTACTGAGTATATACTATGCGACAACATTCTTCTACATAGTTATTTTTTTCTCATTTAACTTTTGATCTAACTTTTATCTCCATTTTATAGAAAATATCAGTAATTTTTCTCACATAGTAGGTGGCAGATCTAGGCTTCAAATCAGGCAGTCTGACCCCAAAACTCATTATTTTAACTACCATTTTATACTGCTTCTCTGTAAGAATTCTGTCTGTTGTAACGGCCATTCCTCCTGCTTCCCTACAGGCACTGACCAATTCACAAACTAGTCATAGGAGTAAGGTAGAAATTTAGAAATCTATTCTTCTATTATGGTGGTTACTAAAATTGTTACATTAGTACTTTTCTTTGTCACCGAACTGAACACAATTATCCTAAAGCTCACCTGAAGACAATCCTCCCATGCTCTTTTTTTTAAAAAAAGAAACTATTAACCTCCTGAAAATTAAAACTCACCCTATAGTGAAATGATGTCCAATTTATTTGATTACACAACCGAGTTTGGGATTGTGCTTTAAAAAGAGAACATTTATTCATATATACTGAAACTGTAAGAATCCTGTAACTCAACAAATGGTGGAAAACAGGGATGCTAATTTCTTCATTTTTTATAACCAAAAGTTCACTAAAATTAGGTAATTAAGAGAACAAGAAAAATAAAGAGAAAGTAAAAATTATATAAATGTTATTATTCCTGAATGGATTATTTTTTAAAAAGTAAATTATATAGTTACAGTTACCTATAGGAAGCCACTAGGAGAAAATGTATAAACATCCAAAATTATCAGAACACATATACAAAACAAAGCAATCACCACATTGAGAAAAATTTAAAAAATAACTAAATGATTTAAAAATTTGAAGCCAAATATATCTGTCATACAAGTGCATGTATAGATTGCCTAAAAGCTCCAATTGAAAGAAACTTTATCAGGTGGACCACAAATCAGAACCTCATATGCCCTGTACAAGAGAAACACTTAAATGACTAAAAAAGACTCTCAAAAGTTTTAATTACAGTGAGTTGGTAAAATGTCCTTCACCCACACAGGCAGAAACAATAGATAATGATGTGGCTTCAGAAAGTAGAGATTAATCATAAGCCTCTTTCTCTTGTTTCTGAACCACACTGAGAACTTACGCAGGAATACAAATGAGGCACAACGCAGTGATTATTTTGGTAAAACTATATTGGGAACATGACTTGGACTCGAGGCTCACTCTTTAATCCTTAAATTGAATTTACCCATGGGGTGGCATATGGAGGACCTCGGACCTTGTAGGAGCCACAACCCTGAGATCCTACCCACACAAGAAATAGAAGTTAAAGTACGTTTTACGGCAGGCCCACATATAAGCAGGGGGATTGTAAAAGGGGTAAAGTGAGAGAGAGAAATACACAGACAGAGGGAAAACAAATGCAAGTGCCTGTGCTGGAGCCCCGGGAACACTCGTTTCCTTCCGGAAGGTGACCACTGAAGTCTTGTAAACAAGTTTGTGAGTGAATGGCATGAATACTGCTTGATAGGGAACAATGGAAAGAGACCGAATTTGGGAGAAAGTATGTAAATCTAGTTTTACACATGATGAATTTAGGATACCTAAGATGAACATCAAGAAGACCATTGGATTATATGCCTGGAATGAAAAGTAAAGCATATGATTTCTCCCACTTTTCCTTTTCCCACTGTGGGATTTTTATTAGTCATTTACAATGCCTGAGATTAAATACGTCATTTCTTCCAATGTCATTTACTTGTAGTGTAATACTTAAAAGACATCAACACTCATCAACAATCCTCTTTATTATGGTCTTCCTATTCATGGTTTTGGCTATATGTCATGGTTAAGGTGATTTTTTTTTGGCTTTGGTTTTATTTTGCTTTTATTTATTTATTTATTATTTATTTTTTTTGGTACATTTTTCCAGGACTGGCTCTCAGGTAGAATAGTTCCCTGAGCTTAAACCTGTTTGACAATGTCTTCTTCTAACATTTAAGTATGAAAGAAAACTTATCTTGTTATGATTTTTCAGTCATGTACTATTTTCCACTGAACTTGTAGACCTAAGCCGCTTTTAAAAAACTCAATATTGCTCCAGAGAATTAGAAAGTGAAGCCCCGTCTCTATTAAAAAATACAAAAAATTAGCTGGGCGTGGTGGCGGGCGCCTGTAGTCCCAGCTACTCGGGAGGCTGAGGCAGGAGAATGGCGTGAACTCGGGAGGCGGAGCTTGCAGTGAGCCGAGATGGCGCCACTGCACTCCAGCCTGGGCGACAGAGCAAGACTCTGTCTCAAAAAAAAAAAAAAAAAAAAGAAAGTGAACCTGACTTTTTTTAAACTTCGAGAGACTGTTGCTTTTTTCTGCCTGAGTGACTGAAAATTTCTTTCTTCATTCATGAAGTTCAATATTTTCATGAGGATATGTGTGGTTGGTGGTGGCTGTTTTTATGTATTCTTCCTGCAAAAGACATAAATTACGTTTGTTAAAAATCAGGTTCAGCTGCAATTGCCAGCAAAACCCAAAATAACAATGAGTTAACAAGATAATAATTTATTTTCCCTTCACGGTGAAGAAATCTGAAGGAAGCCATCATGTCAACATCCCAGGCACCATAGGAAGAAATGTAGGCAAATTAGCAAACTGTGCTCCTTTGACTTAATTCCTGGAATTCGTGCATACTCTTCTTGCTTACATCCCATCAGCCAAAACTTAGTTGCATGATTACACCTGAGTGGCAAAAGCAGCTAGGAAATGCTGCCTTTATGCTAAACAGACTTTTCCCAAATCCTTTGTTTTGATATGGTTTAGTTGAATTCCCTTGATCTCTTTTCCATCTCATGTGAGTCATTTGCTTATGCTCTGAGCTGCCATTTGAGGACATACTAATAGTACACTTCTTATTTGTTTGTTTGTTTGTATCCTAAGGGACATAGGTGATATTAAGGAAAAGAAAATGGGAGAAATAACATAACTAGGGAGACACATACATATCTTGGAAGCTGTGTACTCTGAATTCTCTTCTGAGGTCATTTAGCCAACTCAGGAATTAATCCCATACTCATTGAGTAATGCCCTTGAGTCTCAGTACAAATAAGACTCTTAATTTCCATCCAAGGCAACCAGTTTCATTATTCCTTATTCTTTTTGCTCACTGAAAATACCCTACAATTGTTTCCACCATGCCACTGAAAAGTTGGAAGAGGAGAAACATACTGAAGCCTGTGGAGAAGGACCATTTTTCCATTTTTAATCATTTGAGCTAAGAACTAGGGGAACTTCCCTGAGGCTCTCAGGAAATGCACAGAATTTATACAAAGAAACCTTACTGAGGTCCATGAAAAAGACCTGAATAGAGAATAAAGACAAAACATTAACTTAAATGTTCAGAATTGATATTATAAAGCTTGTAAAAAAAATCAAAGAGATTTAAAAAAAGCAAGAAAGGAAGACCCATAAATATAATGCAAACTAATTGTATCCTGACATAATTTTCTTAATAAATTAAAACAAATAATTATATGAATGATTTATATGGAAAAATAATTGTCTAAACGTTGCGAATTAGTTTTTATTTTAAATAAAGAGTGATAAGGGTGGATTTTCTCTAAGAAAAGATTATATTTTAAAGCTACAGTAACTAAAGCATGCAGTGTTAAGCAAAGAACAGGCAGAACATTTGCGTCATATGCTGGAAAATTCAGAGTAAAAAAATATACATAATCATAGTGTATGGGCAGATAAGCCCTTTAAATCCAGGGAGAAAGAATTTTAAAGACAATACAAAAGCTAAGTACCTGGGAGAAGAAAACCATATAAGATTCTCAAACTATATCTGATACCAAAAATGTTAAAAGAATGCATTGAAGTTTCAAACTTAGAAAATGTGATCAAATATGCCCTAGTAAAAAATAAGTTGATATGATTAAGCATATTCTTCCAACTTTTTTTTCTGATGAGCAGAACACTTTTAAGCAACACATCAATGGCAGAAATCTTAAAGCCATGATTGATAGATAGACCTTGAAAAACTGAGTTTACAAAATTAAAATGCAGACAGATACTGAGTAATAATTTCAACATAAATGAATGAGAAAAACAAAATTAATACAAAACAAAGAACCCTGATAGAGAAGAAGAAGGAAAGACCATCCTCCTGCTTAGTCAACTAAATGCTGCTGATTCAGCCTGTGCTTTAGTTTGTTTTAAAGTTTTTTTTTTTTAGACAGAGTTTCACTCTGTCACCCAGGCTAGAGTGCAGTGGCACGATCTCGGCTCACTGCAACCTCCGCCTCCCAGGTTTAAGCAATTCTCTGCCTCAGCCTCCTGAGTAGCTGGAATTACAGGCACCCCACCCCCACGCCCGGCTAATTTTTTGTATTTTTAGTAAAGACGGGGTTTCACCATCTGTCCAGGCTGATCTTGAACTCCTGACCTTGTGATCCACCTGCCTCGGCCTCCCAAAGTGCTGAGATTACAGGCATGAGTCACTGCGCCTGGCCTTGTTTTAAAGTTTTATTATTCCTTCTTTCCATCCTTTTAACTTATTAGCATGGTCTCTGTTTACTTCAAAGGAAATACACTCATACCTTTTTTGGGCGAGTACAGTGCACCAACTACATCTTTCAGCCTGATGTTGACACATGCTTAATTACAAAAGCTTCCCAATCTCATTTGTTTGTCTTATCAATGTGAATATAAACAAAGGAGATGATTGAATAGATATTTATATTTTTACCAAAAAAGGTGTACTAAATAAACTGAATCTGGTGTCCTGCTTATGCAGTCTCAGATGTACCCAGGTTTCCACAGAAGAAGCGCACCTCTCTAGCACAGGACTTGAACTCATCCTTGCCACATGGCCTCAGCTCTGCTTCTAACTCAGACAGATTTGTGGGCTTGGAATGTTCCTCTCACCTGACTCAGAAGTTTAATATTTTCCAAGGCTCAGCTTCCCAACTGATACACCTGCTCCCTAACCAGTCTATGTAATTCTGCTTGGTTTTCCTAGCCTCACAGGCCTGAGGGTCTCTAGTTGTAGTTTCCTATTTCCATTTCCATCTCATTGTAGAGCAAAACACACCTTCAGGTATTCCTTACTACAAGACCAATGAAATGTCCAAAAGAGACTAAAAGAGATCAGTACTTTGATCCGCTCAGGCATTCAGTTGCTTTGCCAACCTACTAGAAGCGCACTGATTTTTTGTGTGTCATGAAAACCATTCTTAGCAACACAAAGGAATAAAGAAAAGTGTTAATGTGATCACTAAGAAGTGGCCAATTGAAGAGGCCACTCAATATTTTAATATATTGATAATGCAAAGATCAGCAATCAAATGGTTAACCTGAATTTAATGTTATGAATCCTAACTGGCAATTCACTTGGGACCAATTAGAAATACTGAAGAATTAGAACAAATCAATTCCATTGAATTGACTTCAGATCATATGGCTGACAGCTAAGTGCTTTGTGGATTTTTTTTCTCCTTTTCATATAACTAGTAGATCAGTTTTCACCAACTTCCCGTGCCTAGTGCAGTGGTTGACAGGTCCTATGGGTGGGAATGCCGGGAAACACATTTCAGGGAGAATGAACAGCAGAAAGTAATCATTATACTCAGTGGAAATGTTGCTAGATGCAATTCCTGCTCCAATTAATAATTAAATATCATTTACATACACTCTTTCATCTAGCCTCACCATGCAATCCTTAGATAATGAGATATAAGATTTTTTTTAAAATTCAGTGCTGTTGGTAAAACTATTCATAAATACCATTACTGATTTTGAGTTGAGAACAGAATCATACAGCGATGGCTCTTCTTTCTAAGACAGAATGTTTTTAGCTACTCTCTTTGGGCCGCTTAAATCTTCAACCATGATTTCATGGTATTTTTGTCATTGGTGACATTAAGAGCAGAACCACTTATGAGGTTCATTTATGACTCAATGACCCTTCTGATTAATATCACATATGCAAGTAGAGTTTATAGAAATATCATGTAATTACGATGATAGTAAAAATAATGCAGCTGCTTTTTATGGAGTATTTACTCTATGCTAGTTGCATCTAGACATTATTTTATTTTAAATGTAATCATCAAAGAAAGAAAAGAAAGGGACCTTGGAGATCTACAACGCTGCGCTCAGATACGAGATTCATGTATTGTCCCTAACGTAAGCTGACTTTAAAGCTCATCCTCACAGTAGTAACTTTAATTGTGAATGCAAGCGGTAGAGACAGGCAGAACCAAGCTGAAGAGGTAATTCCAACTTTTACTAGCATTTTTAGCCTGGAGCAAGGCCTTTTCTACACTTCAGTTTCTTCATCTGCAAAATAAGGATGGCAATAATAGGAACTTGATAGGATTGTTGCACAGATGATGCAAGAAACGTGATGTTCAAAGTGCCTGGCTCAAACAAATGTTTTCTGATACTACAAATTGTCTTATTTATTATTACTGTGCATTCATTCATGCATTCATGTTTCAAATATCTTGTTGCCTATGATTTACTCATTCCTGGGGTGTACACTATAAATGGTCAGTGCTACACTTTCAGTCGGCAAAGGTATGATTTCAGTAATGCCTGGCTAATTAAGCTCTCCTAAATATACATACCTCATTTGGAATCACCAAAAGCTTTAAATCTCATCATGAATGTTTCATTTCTGCATTTCTTATGGTAGGCACCAGCCACATGTGACTATTTTAATTTGAAGTTAATTGAAATAAAATAAAAACAAAACTGAAAAATCAGTCTCTCCATTATATCAGCTACATTTCAAGTGTTTAATAGGGATGTGTGGCCAGTAGCTGTAGACATGGACAGACAGCTATATAACATTCCCATCATGGCAGAAAATTCCATTGAACAGTAATAATTAACAATCGTTTCATATTAAAGTGCAAGTAACCAATAAATTATTCAGTATTTATACCTTTGGGTCAAAGTCAGTTTAGATACTTTTCTAAGACCCTATTTTAATACAGAGAAAGGAGAAGGAAATATGAAGGCACTGGGGAAATCTTCCAGACCTTTTCATTTCAGACATATTCAACTTTGGTGCTATGCGTGCACACTCACAGCATATGAAATTAAGTCTGTAGATCTGACACCTTTGAAAGAAAAACCTCTGTGTTTCCCGATCTTACCATTTTAATTAGCACACCACTGTTTGGCGTTACCCAAGGATATTGGTGTGAGCTAACCTCACTCATGAGGAAAAGACATCAGCCTGAGAACAAATGCTCCTGAATCAAGAGGAGAAATCAATCTCAGAGGGCTTGGGAGAAGGGATATTGTCTGAAATGCTCCTTTTGCCCTTATGTTTATCCCTCCCTCCCATATATCAGGAACAGCACAAACCTTTGAAGGCTCCAGATATTATGCTTTGGTAAGATGAGAACTTGCTGTCAAAAATGGACCCGAGTCCCGTTACGTGTTCATACACACATACCCACAATTTTAAAAAAATTAAACAATAACAACCAAAGAAGCCAGCAACTCTATTTGAACAGATCTTATCTTACTTTCCAAATGAAGGCAAAACTCATCACTTCCCAGGTTTGAACAGCTGAGACCCATCAACCAACGGAAAACAATTTGTTCAGAGGCGAAGCTGTCACCAACTATTACCACGTGGAACGTGAAGAGCTGCTATAGACCTCAGCTCCCTGATTCTGGAAGGCCTGCTCCCATTTCACTTGACAGCTGTGGACATTGGAATAATACAAAACATAACCTAATCAACAGACTGTGAAAAATCTGAAAGCTACAGACAGATGTTCAACCACCATCACCACCTTTCATATTTAATTATATTTATGTGGGGGAAAAACAAGCAGTGAGTCAACTCCTTTAAGAAGCTCTACTTGACTGTAAACTTAGTAATAGGATAGGTATGGCTTTCTCAGTCAAACAATGGGCTGCAAATGGCCTAAATCTAAGCTCTGGTGGCAGATGGGCCTATGCCGAATCAGCCTGTGTTCCATACTACAGTCTGCATGCTTTCTCTTACTTTCAGAGATATCTCATTCACCTTCACTTTTCCTTACCAGACTAGCCTGCCAATGTCAAATCTATATCCAGCAGTGGCTGAATGAAGTTAGCATACGCTAGTCACTGCCAAGCAGACTGAGGGTAAATACATTTTTTTCTGACTTGAAAAACAAACAAACACACAAATTTTCCTTTCTCTATTTTAATCCACAAAGATCTCAAAGAAATATCAGAAATGAAAAAGAAAAATACTATATTATCTACTATAGTGTTCCATATCAGGAAGTGACTTGTTATAAGTTAAGCAGGGGTCACAAAGTTGCCTGCTGATAAATTAAATGAATGAAATGACTTTAGTTTCCTCATTAGGGGCCCCAAAGAGAGTTAAGGGACCTGTAGAAAACTGAGGAATTCATGCCTGTTCTGTAGTTCAGCCCTTTAATACCACTTAGGAATGTGGTTCACATATAGATCAACTGGAGAGATGCAAGAAATCCAAGATTGTATATAAAATATAATTTCTAAATATTGGCAATTAATCATATTTTCCCAACATAATCCACGGTGTGGAGGCCCAATAAAATGTGTATATTCTAAATATAAACTGACTTTTGCAAGCTTTGACTTAAAAGAGTTCAGAACTACTAACTTTTACAAAATATTGTTTTTCATAAGAGGTAATGACAAAAATAAGTCTATGTTCCTACCGGGCAGCAAGAATTAGTGAAACAGCCACTGAGCTAAAATTGAGAAGACTAGTGTCCTGCCAAGCTCTTGCATTTATAATCTGAGTGACTTTGGGCAGATCACACATACAATCAGTGTCTCAGTTTCCTCCTATTAAATTAGAGTCTCACCTGCCATATCTCCTTTATGTTTTTCGGATATCAAATAATGAATGCACTTTTACAATTGCCAAATGTTCTATTTCAAGGAAATATTATCTATTAATTTTTCTACAAGTTATTAATAAAAATATCCAATGTTTATCATGTACAGTACTCCCTCTATCCATCTGGAAGGGGTAGCTCTTAAGTACTAATAGATGTAATTCGAATCATACTGTGAAATTCAAAGTAAAAATAATATATACTTCTGCCATTAATTTAAGCAATTCCCTTAATGTCTATGGGGATAAGTTTTCCTGTTGACAAATATAATATTGATACTCTCTATCTTTATTCCAGGAATATTATGAAGCTAAAATGAATTAAAAGATATTAGGAAACAAACAAAGTAATACTGGAAGGTAGCATTTTCAATTTTGATGACTATTATTAACAATTTTTCTTTCAAAGGTAATTGTTTTCCATGGAAAAGGAAAACAATGCTATCACTAATTACCTTAATATTAATATTATGCATAATGATTTATCACATGCCAATTATACAACAAAAATGTATATATTATAAAATATCTCTACAAGCTCTGTGAGATAGACACTCTTGCTGACCCCGCTAAAATCCACAACTCTTCCCCCTCCCTTTTTTTTCTTTTGCTAAGAATTGAGTAGTTTTATTTGAGGCAGCAGTATTCCCAGCCCCATTCTCCACACTTTCTTTCTTAGAGTCCCTTGCAGGAAGGGGTAGACACATAGCAAACAGTTCACATTATGCCAGAGAAGTGAAGTCCATGGGGGTTATAGGAAGGTTTTGCTTTATCTATGTAAGGCAACAGGGGGCTGAAACTTTCATTCTTGTTTCTGCTCCAGACTTTTCCTATAGTTCCAGAGGCAGTGAAAAGGATAGGGAAAAGCTAAGCAAATTGTAGATTTGTTGTGAGTGAAATTTTCAAATAAGGAAACCAGTGCTGGCAGTTGACAAAGTCCACATTTCTTTTTGTGTGAGATCTATATTCCCCAACTTATTCACATCTCTGTAAATTATTCCTTTTATTTTTGACACTCAGCAATCTTAGATGAAAACCCATCCATTTAATTATAACTCCATGATGTTAAGCCCTATTCTGCAAGACATGGAAGCCCACATTTGAACAATGAAATGAGAGAAGTCATTAATCTTTCTGGAAACTAATTCTTCCATCAATAAAATGGGGGTTATAACAAAAACTTCAATCATTTTTGTAAGAATCAACAGAAGAGTTTATATAAAACTATTCCATGAAAACTAAAAAGGGCAATAGAAATCAGGTCTTTAGTATTGTTCATGCACATTAAAACTTCACAGATTCTGCTGATTATAAAATATGATTTTAGAATATTGTGGCACATTTCCTAAATATTCCACCCATGGAAAATCAGTGATGTCTGAGTATATTTAATGGTTCCTTCAAGTTCCTTCAAAAAAGCTACAGATTATCTAATGTCCTTCTATTACATTGGACTATCTTTGGAATATGCTTTCTTGGTCCTTGTTCAAATCCACAGACCAGTCAAAATATCACAATATTGCCTCTTCAGCTTTCCTATGCAGAGAATTCAGGAAGATTTGTGAGGCCTTGAGTTTCCCTCACATATTATAGAAGGTATAAAGGTATTTCACAGCAGAAGATATACAGGACAGCAGGCTGAATAGCCAGACAGTTAAATAAGAAGTGCTGAGACAGATTCTAATGTTTGAAAGTGCAAGGGCCAGTGAGGACAGTGATGTCAAATACTTGTAGTGGAGAACGAGAGTTGAGAGAGAACAGCGCACTGAGCATCCTCTATTATTAGCAGCCAAATTAAACATGTAGCATACCTTATTTAATCCACACAGAAATTGAGAGATAGCTATCTACACTTGAGTTATACAAATGAATATTAGAGTGGTTTGCTTCTTTGCCCAAAATTACAAAAATTTGAAAAAGCATACTTAGAATCCCAATCTAGGTGATGTGAACTCAGACCATTAAGATATATTTCCTTCCAGTTCCCATAACTGAACAGAGATGGGTCAACTGCTACCAGGTGTCCACAAAGACATGAGGATATGTACAGAGCCATTCTTCTAGGAGTTAGCAGATGAAATTACTAAGGACAGATTTTGATCTATGAGTGACTGGCATGCCTGAGATTGCAATGGTATTTTCTGGTAGGGATGCTTCACAAATACTGGGTTAAATGAGTAACACAGATATGTGCTAGTTTTCAGTTGGTGCAGTGTAAAAATTTAAAGTTCAGGCCCTGCATTCAGACTGGGTTTGGATCTGGAGTCTGCCACTTACTAATTGCGTGAACCAGGACATTAATTTAAAATTTTTGCTTCAGAGTTCTCATTGTTAAAGTGGGAATAGTATCAATTCTGCCTCATAGATTGATTGTTGGAATTAAACAGAGTAATTAATTTTAGCAGTTATCTTTAAGGGAAACTTAAGACTGCTAGAGCTTCATTGTGTTTATTTGGTGTCTAAATTTACTTTAATCTGGAGGGCAATGAAGGCAAAAAGGCAAAATGAACTTTAGAAATGCATACATCACAATTCATCTTGTCAAAAATTTTTCTTCAGGGAATGTAAATTAGATGTATTTGAAATTAATAATTTAAGATATATAGAGAAGTACAGGGGATCATGTGAATGAGCACTTCAGGTGTGGATATTTATATTATTTTGTTGGTTGTTTTCTGGAGACAAGGCCCTGCTCTATTGCCCAAGCTGGAGTGCAGTGGCATGACCATGACTCACTGCAGCCTCAACCTCCTGGGCCCAAGTGGTCCTCCTGCCTCAGCCCCCCAAGTAGCTGAGACTACAGGTATACCTCACTGTGCCTGGCTAATTTATTTTTATTTTTAGTAGAGATAGGGTTTCACTATGTTGCCCATGCTGGTCTTGAACTCCTGGCCTCAAGTAATCCTCCCACCTCAGCCTCTCAAAGTGTTAGGATTACAGGTGTGAGCCCGCAATGCCCCATGATATTCATATTATAAGTTACAAATTATAACAGACAGCTTTGGTGGGTAACTGCTTAGGCTATACTTCTCTTAAGAGAATTGCTCCTGGTCATGCTTGGTGAAATGGAGCAGCCAGGTCAGAACTGGATGACCCATCTCTCCCACCATCGCAGATTGAACTATTTACCCAGTTTTGCCTAAAAGACTGTATCTCCCAGGAAGTTAAAATTGGAACTCAGAGAATGTAGTCAATTTCTGTCAGACACTTGAACTTGGAATATGTGCAATATTGGGGCTGGGACAGTCTGGTAAAGGCTGAAGCAGCAAAGTAGAAAAGGCAGGTTGGCCGAGAATAATGAAAAACTGAAGTCATGTCTGGAGCCAGGCAGCTGGGACCAAGTCAGGACTCTACTTTTTGTTATTTGCCAGTTTGTGTGACCTTAAGCAAGTGACATAACTTCTCCCTACTCAGTTTATTCTCTCATTGTGATGACTGAATGAGTCAGGATAGGTGAAGCACCTGGAAGGGGACTCAGGAACCTGGTACAGGCTCTAGAGTGTTATCTCATCTCTAATTATGGGTCTCCTCTTATTCTACTGTCATATGTGTGTATTCATCTGCGTGGGTGATCTGTTATCACAAGTTGCAAGTTGGGGTGTGAAGGGGCACCTTGTTCCACGATAACTTTCTAGCTTCTCGACCTGGTCCTGCACAATGGGACTTCATGTTTTTGGATTCCTTGAAATCACCCTATATGCTTCCAATAAATTATCTTTTTCCCTTCTATTAATAATAGTTTCAGGCTCTGTAAATACTTAATCTCTGAAGAAGAAACACCAATTTGCACTGCCCTTTGGGATAATTTGAACAACGTGTTCCTGACATTTAGGTGAACAATTCGGTATCAAGCATACCCTTGCTACTCCTGATGTAGAGGTTGTTATTGGATACGTATAGAAATTTTGTAGTGCTCTATTAGAACAGTAATAATCAAAGAGAGTGCTAGGCATGAGAGTGATATGAAACTCACAGATCATAAAGATGCCTCCAAATTATTATTATAATCTACATCTAAAATCATTTCTGTTTCATAGCTCCCTCTGGTAAAAAAATAAAACTCGTAATTCAGTTAGGTAGTTTCTAGATGTGGAGGCTATTGAAAGAATCTCAAAACATATTCCCTAAGACCCTCTTATGGGTAAGACTGACATAATCATAAAAAATAAAAATGCTATTAAATAGACTATAAATTTCAAAATGATACAGAAATGCAATAACCAGCCAGAGATTTGAAGGAAATAATAAAAGCAAACAAAAACTAAATAGACCCTTCCTCCAGTAGAGATAATACCAAAGCCACAAGACAAGGGTCAAGGAGCTCCTACAGTATCACCTAGTTCAGGTAAGACTTAGGGCTTTAAAGTGGGTCAGATGAATTGTTACATGGGCAGCCAAACTACAGTGCTTATAAATGTGCTTATAATGATTTCATTAGGAATTTAAGTAAAAGCATTGCAAAATAGATATTTCATTTTTTTTGTATACAATATAAATGCACTTTGCTAGAACCTAAAAGAAAATCTGTTTGTAAAATGTATGCAAACTCTTCCCATAAATCTAAATCAGGGATGATTTCTGGCTTTGAAGCTATGTTGTAATGTGCAATGCATTGCAATATGAGATGTTGGTGAAACAAGGAATAAAATCAATTAAGAAAATTTAGTCTGCACTGTAAAGCCTAACTAAGCAAATAAAAAAAACAAAGTTCTTTGTAAAACCTTTAGAGACAAGCTGATCATTGCATTTGCGGCACTATTATTAAAAGCATTTATTTCATTGTAAGTACTTCTTCATGCCACCCAGACAGGTGCCTTAGCCACAATTTATGAGCAGTTATACAAGTTGAGCTCACTGTCATGAGCCAATTACAATACCTTTTTCACAAATGTATAACATGCCACGGTGTTATTCACATGGCATTCACCAGCCATGCTCACCAATGAGTACCAAGCTCCCAGGGTCAATGGCACCTGATATATCTGTCATAGAGGTACTGAGATTCCCCCTAGGTAGCCAGAAGTATCACCTCTCATAGAAGGGTGGGAGCAGTTGATGATGGTTCAAATGTGGTATAATTCTCTGATCCGTGAAATCTTACAGTCAAAGTTTCTTTCATTTATTAGTCCATTTTTGACTTTTTTGACCTGTTTGTGGGATGTCCACAGGGCTAGGACTCACAAAAAGATTCTCATTTCAATTTTCATTGTATTGATGAAGAAACAGAGGATTGGAAAGCTGTAGCAACTTCTTGTGGTTACCCAGAGGCATGAGATGCAGATGGGATTCAAATTTCCTTCGGTCATCCTGAATCTTCTTCAGCTCATTCCCAGGAATCCTTATATGCCTCTATTCTACCTGAAAATTATTTTGGAGTTTTTCAAGCTTGATCTCCAATCTATCTGGCCACTGCTGATCAGTAAGAAACTCCCTTATCTGAGAAAGAAGCACCAGAGAAGTTGGTAGGAATGAAAACAACCATGTTCTATGCCACTCCCTTCTCCAAGCTTTTAATAACTATTTTTTTGGACTTCTAGGGAGAAAATTAGACATTGCAAATCATTCTGCTTCTGCAGCTACAGAATTACCTGAGGGAAAAGGTACTGTTAAAGTCTACTATTTCACGGCATCAGATCATTCTCTTAGCAAGAGCAAAGGAAACTGTTAGGGCTACAAATCGTATAACTACAATAGGTCCTAAAGTCACACATGTTTTAAAACATGTCAGAAGCACCACAGACTGCAGCAGGAATATCGTTTTTACCTGAATTTCTAAAACATGCAGTAACATTTATAGGAAGAAGGGAAAACTTACCATACTTTCTGGGAGGTTGGAGTGGTAGGAAACACATTATAGCAAAGAATTACCTGTTGTTACCTCTCCTATTAGGATAGAGATGTATTAAATATTTCTACTGCACTTTCTACCAAAAAGTGGGTAATGGGAGGTGTGCGTCATAAGGAACACCACTTCATAAGTCCCTTCAGATCTGCACACAGCTTTTGAAGTTCTCCTGCTCAGGTCTGCAATCCCACACAGGATAAATCACTGCTGAGGCTCATGTCCCCAACAGGGGGCTGTTAATTAGTTTTAAAGGCTCCTGCAGTTCCTCTACTGTTTCCAGGAAGTATGCAAACCCAGAAATATATAAAAATCCATTGTTTTTTTTTAATGGTCAGCCCAGGCTGAGATTTTATGAGCTTCCCATGGCTGTATAAAAGTTAAGCTATATGCAAATGTGCAAAGAGAAGGCTGTTAAAATTGACTGGGATAAATGCTTTGTTTATCCTGCAGCTGGAATAGAGTGAAACTCCACTGAAATGGAAGGGGAAAAGAGGCCAAATACCATGTGTATCCACGTGTGAGGCTGGGGCAGGGGAGAGCTGCTCTGCATCTCTGGATTCATTCTAGTTTGCATCCAGTCCAGCTTTGGAGCTGTGTTTTGTACTCCCAGAGAGCAAAGTTTTTTCATCCTCAAACATAGTAGACTAGGAATAGAAAACCTGAGAATTCTAGCATCTTAGAACTGGTGTGGAGCTCAGAGAAGGGCATCTTCTCCCTCCCTCCCATATCACAAGCACAAAAAATGAGATCCACAAGAGCCAACCTCAAAATCATAGGTGGGAATTGAACAATGAGAACACATGGACACAGGAAGGGGAACATCACACACCAGGGACTGTTGTGGGGTGGGGGGAGTGGGGAGGGATAGCATTAGGAGATATACCTAATGCTAAATGACGAGTTAATGGGTGCAGCACACCAACATGGCACATGTATACATATGTAACAAACCTGCACGTTGTGCACATGTACCCTAAAACTTAAAGTATAATAATAATAAAATAAAAAATAGAAAAAAAATCTTAAAAAAAGTCAACATATATAAAAACAACACATTGTACCCTAAATATATATGCATATATAATTATTTGTTAATGAAAAACAAATAAAAATAAATTTTAAGAATAAATGAAATAAAAAAGTACTCATGACAGCCCTCGTCACTGCTTATTAGATCCAGCAGATACCGTAGAGATAACTTAATCAAGTCAAAAACACATTGGATTTGATTCCCAGTTTAACAAATATTTATTAATCATCTACTAGGTACCAGGGACTGTGCTCTGAACATTGAAGACTCTGAACAATCTCAGGTCTCAAAGAACTTGTTTGAGTTTTTAAATTTTTAAATTACATTTTCACTGATGTATAATTTAGATACAATAAGATGCATAGATCTTAAATGTACAGTTTGATGAGTTTTGACAAGTGTAAATACCTGTGAGATTATGTCAATGAACACACACACATCCCCCACAGACACATGCAAAATTATGACATTATTTCTTTGTTTATAACTGATTTAAAATATATTCCTGAGTTGGGAACTTTAATTCTCATTTTTTTAAATCCTAAAAGCCCACAACCGTCAAGTTATCCAAGAGGTCAGTAGAATATTGTGCACACATGCACACACACACAAACTTTTCTTCTTACTGTGATAAAATATCATCCCTGTGAAGTTGTATCATCTCTCTTTTTTTCTGCATATCAGTAGATAACACTTCCAAGAAAGTGGGACATTAGTGTTATAACCGCTAATGTATAGTGGTAGCTCCATAAGGGATATAATTGACTTTTTCCCACTCATCCTCACCAAAAAATCTTGGACTAGTCACAATGATTACCCATTACACAGAGGCCTCTGAGGCATAGAAAGTTCAATTGCCTCATCAAGTAGGTGGCAGGAGAACACAATGAACCCCGATTTTCTGACTCTAGAGTCTAAGTTTCTTAACTTCACACAAGATGGTCTCCCATGATAAGATAAGCACCTGTGTAAAGACTAAAGTTTGTTTATTTGTTTGTTTGTTTTTTCTGAGTCCCTAAATCTATAACCAGAGCCACAGCTTGGTCACATAGGGCAATCCTAATACCTAAAATAATACAGAATTCAAGATTCTTTTGAATTTAAAATAATAGCTAAGTATGTAGGTTTTTTCAAACAGCTAAAATGTAGATAACTAAATGCCAGAACAATACTAAGATTCACTTTTTAGCCAATAAATGAAATGAAAGAAAATATCTGGTATACTCCCACATATACTCTTAATTGATTTACAGTCACCCTTGACTCCAGCCCTTTCCCTTTGGTTAATTTCATAAAGATTCCTCTTCCTTTTGCAGTAATCCAAGTTTCAAAACCTGTATTTTTTTTCTATATTTATGGTTATATAATTTACATCCTTAGGCAATACTGGACAACTTAGAGAACTCAATGATTTCAGGTAACATAAATAATACCCCAAATCTCCCAACTACATAAGACAGTTTTCATTAGTGATCTCTTTCTGATAAGAGAAGTGGATAGGCATATCCTAATTTGCCTTGGTATTACCACTGCTTTACCCAACTTATCTGGCATTTTTCTATTACTTTTTAAAGATAATTAAGCCAAGATGTTCAGAGTTATCAAGTGGAATTTTTAAAAACTTACACAATGAAAAGCAAGAGGGCTTTAATATTTTCATCTCAGATACACAGTATATTTAAAAACCTTTCTTAAAAAAATTAGATGATTATCAGGGATGAGCAAGTCCAGTTGAAGGTGGTAATGGGCAGAGTCCAGTGAGGCAGATGGCCATATGGAGGGCCAGTTCCCCAGCAATTGAGGAATAATCACCAGCCAATGGGGAAGGGTTGAATATTTAGTACAGGTAGTTGGAAAATTATCTAATTGGATAATCCTTACAACATGCCACCTAGATATACAGAGATACATACTTTCCAGGTAATTTAAGAAATTACTTCTAAAAAGTAAAAATATAAAATTCTACAATCATCCATAAATAAATATTCCACTCACATCAAGGATAACTTGAGGGTTGTGGGCCCTCAAAGACAAAAGAAAGAGAAGTAAAAACATCAGCTCAAGAATATATATTAAATAGATTATAAACAAAGAATAATATCTTGAATAAATAATGTGCCCCTGAAAATAAGAAAAGCACTAACATAATAATAGACAAATGGGCTATGAACATGAAAAAAATGTTTTAAAAAGAAGAAATATAAACATAATATATCTAATAAACATGTGAACGAATAACTTCTCTAGAAGAAAAAATGCATATTAAAACATATGGATATTCTTTGTTATCAAATTATTTCAAGGTTGGTGATAGTGGACTGTGGCAGGCTTTTGAAATGCTTCTACTAGGGGAACAAAACAACAAAATGTTCCTTGTAAATCAATTTGGCTCCACGTTTCAAGATCATTAGACATACTCCTATTTTGCCAAGTGATTCTATTTCTCAGAATTCATCTTTTGAAGAAATTCTTTAAATATGCACAAAGATGCTCATGATATTTATAATAGCAAAAGAGAAAATGGAAACACTCTACTTGTCCAATACCAGAAGATGTTCATTCCATTTCAAAATTTTTATATAAAGGAATATAGCAGTTCACGTTTCCAAAGAATAACAGAGATGAGAAAAAATGGTCATGCTAAACCAGTTAATTAGCCAAAAAATAGAAAAGAAATTTTTGTTTAATTATCAGTGGTCGAGGAATGAAAGATTTTTTTTTCTTTTGTTAGGGAGTTAATACAGTAGTTTAGAGAACTTGGTTATTATGTTACATTTTGTTAATGCGGAGGAAATACAGCAAATGTACAGACTTGTCAAATGCAATGCAATTTGTTATGTTGAGAACAAGTTGCTTGTTTAGACTTGACGAAAACGTTGAATCTAGTTATCTGTAGAAAGGAATATATACCTATAACTTCTAATAATTATATTGCGAATCTTTCATCTGGAACAAAGGACTAAGTATCATTCAGATAATTGGGAAGAGAAGTTGGATATGCAAGAGGGAAGGCCAGATCACCTCTGCCTGAGAGGGGGCAGAGTCACTAATAGCCCTCTGGCTCAAATGGCACATTTGTATATGTGAATAAAAGGGCACCTGTTCCTCCTAACACTTCACTACCGTGTGTCCACAAATACTCATGACTGTAAGTACAAAAGTAAATGGTGCCCTCTGGAATTGCATGCCACAATGGTCCAAAGTAACTCAGGCTACTGTCTAAGAAGATCAGAAGTCACTTAGAGACTAGGTCTAGAAGAGGCTAATAGGGGGACAAGAAGTAAGGAATGAGAAGAAGGTAGCTACACACCTAACTCCTGCCCCACACTTCACTGCTTTCCATAGTGATATGGAGGACATGCAGGACTAGAAGAGCAGGAAAGCGATCATGTCTGATTATCCGAAGGAGTAATTCAGAGATCCTTTGATGACAGAGGGTATGATGGGGCTGGAGGCAGACAGGACTCAGTACATGGTTCAAAATGGGCAATTAGAATAGACACTCAGATCTACAAAATTAGGAAGAAAATACCTCTCTTGTGGGATTGTTAGCATGGAATTCCATACATACATACGCATATAGACATATATTGTATGGCAAGTTGTAAATGCTTACAAATGATAACAATATAAAAACCTGCTTCATCTCACTGACATTTTAGCAAATTCTAGAGAAATTCTTACCAGCACTGCTAAGCGTTCCTCATGCTGTGTTAGAAGGAGCCAGGCAGCCAAGAGAGTCAGCATTAATAACATCTCCAGTTCCACCATTTCTAGCTAAAGGGTAAATCTTTTAAATTTTTAAGACCTATGTTTCTTTATACATATAGTAGGGGTAAAGGTAACATTGCCCCTTCCCTATAAGATCCTGACTATAGAATGATTATACATTCTAAAAGACCTGCATAAATGCAAGAGATATTGTGGAAGTGTTTGCATGCATGTGTGTGTGTGTGTGTGTGTGTGTGTGTGTGTTTCATGTTTATTCTTCACCCCTCTGTTTCTCTGTTTTCACTAACAGTAAACACATGAAACCTAAAAGAAGCCTCCATGCTTTGTATTGAAACAAAAAGAGGCACCTGGGAAACCGTTCTGCTTTGTTGCTTTACTTTAAAGAAGAGGGATATTGACAACACAGCAGCCAAGGCCTTGAGGTCTTGGGGTCTAGAACAAGCAAAATAAAAGGAGCTGAAAAATGGTTCATGGTTAAGCTTCTGAATAAAAGCAATCCCAATCTTCTAACATCTTCCCAGATGCTCCATGGGAGACATTTCCTGGTAACTCTTGGGAAGATTTCCCTGAACTTGGAAAAGGCAGTCTTGGAATTTACTGTAGACATGCACTGACTAAGTATTTCAGTCTTAACCAAGGGAGAGAGGAGAACCCATTTCGGTGCACGTCACTTGACCAGCTAAAGACTGAAACTCTTGATTGTCATGGTTTCTGTATGAACCCATGAGTTCCTGCAAATTAGCTAAGATTATGAGTTTTTTCTGCCAACTTCCCATATCTAATGCCAAGGGAAGGAAATAAAAGAATCCACCACTTATCTGCTTCCTACATAATGAAGAGGCTGAAATTTTGGAATTAGAGTTAAAATATATACAGGTGCTAGTTTTGTAAACAAAAAGTTAGAAGAAAGTCCGTCAATGTTAGCAACTCTTCTTTTGGGGGCATTGCTGTTGTTTGTACTTCTATCCCTTACTCTATTTCATGGATTAATAAATCAAAGAGTGCCAGATGAAGAAGTTTCTTTGGTCTGGATATTCACCTGTTAGCACAAATCTCATCTAAAAAAAGTATTTGCACAGATTCCCTCTTTTTTAATCCTATGCTTATTTTTGATGTAAATAACTTGCTAACGTTGAACTTCATTAACTCTAAAATGTGTGAGACTCGTCCTTTTATTCTGGTTTAGCATTCAGAAAGTGGCACACGTTTACCTGTGTAACAAACCTGCACATCCTGCACATGTGCCTCGGAACTTAAAATAAAATTAAAAAAATTAGAGAAGCGTTTATTAAATTATGAAAAATTATTTCTAGTAAGACTAAGGCACAGCATGCGGGTGATTTGGGGCACAGTCATCTACACTTCATCATTCCATAAGCTAGCAATAAATACAGGGGCAAATGTTATTGTACATTTTCCTCATATAGGAAGAAGGCGCTTTCTAATTTCAAAGTTTAGTGTAATAATATCATTCAGGTATTACTTTTCTTTCCTTCCTAAGTTTTCTTATCTCTGCCTTTCCTGGATGTCCTTAGGAAACTTACAGGGGCACTTATTTCTTATAGACAGGTCACAGGTGGCATTATTTTTCTGTAGCATGGAAGGAAAACTGTGTCAACATGGAACCCTGGTGGTCCACGTGAGTTAGAGGTGGTAGGGATGTCAGGAAAATTGAGGGAAGCAGAAAATGCAGAATCTGGAAGACAATAAGGCAGTTGTCCCATCCAAACTTCTTAAAACATGTTTTTTTGTTTTTCTTTTCATATAGGCTCCACACCTACCACCCCCTCCTCTCTTTACCCACATAGATCCATATGCCTTTCAAAAGTCAAATGCTAATGATGTAGCATTTTCCTTAAGCCTTTAGAGAAAAGCATTGGCTCCCTATTGTCTGCTCATCAGCCAGCATTTTTTGGACTAACGTTCAATGCCCTTCATGACTGTCTTCAAATTTACATCATTTCTGTTGCCTCTTTATCATGAATCCTCGCCCCCAGCTGATGAAGGTTTCTGCCGATTTTGAGTGACAGGACATTCTTTTAGTCTTATAAAGCTATGTATAGAGAGTAGCAATTTACCAGTAGTGAAAGATGTCAAGGCACACGGTACCCACCTGGATTATACATGAACCAAAGAGAACCTATAACATTTGAAGGCTTTAACACTAACCTAAAATACAGTTTCATCCTTGATGCTTTATAGTTGTGACTGCCATGGTGTGCACCTATTACGGTTCAGGTGAATTTTAGGAGTATGTCCACCTTCTGCTTTCAATTGCGGAATGATTGAAACAATAAATGTGCTGAGCACCTGCAGTGTTCCAGACTTGCAGCTAAGCATTTGTGTACATATCAATGAGACAGGCAACAATTTTCTCATTTTACAGAGGAAAACTGAGCACAAGTAGAGGCTAAATGACCAAGAACAAGCAGCCAGTGAGGAACTAGGACTCACACTTAGGTGGTTTGTTGTTGTTGTTGAACTTCTTTCTCAAGCTCACTTCCTGGAGAAATGGTTTTATCTTCCGTTTGAATGAAGGTCTACTGATCACGCAGACTTCTAGATATTAGGTTAATTTACTACTATACTACCCTCGTCATATACAAATTATATAAAACTCAATTAATTTCAATGCTCCAATAAAAATACATTCCATTTCTCCTTTTCAGTAGAAGCGGTGGTAAACGTCATGAAGCCAGGGAGTAGGGATATGCTGCAAAATATTTTATCTCCAATGTCCAGCAGAGTTCCTGGCACATAGATAGTGATCAAAGTCTCTTAAATGAATAGATTATAATTAGGACTTGGGCTCAGGCTTATACCAGTCTTTCTGAATATTGACAAGAAGTAGACAAGCCAACTTGTCCAAGGTCACCAAGTGACTGCTCACTGAAGCAAAACTTTTCTGAATACTTATTATGCAGAAACCAGGCTAGCACCAGGTGCAAAGTCTAGAGTAAGAGAGGTCTGGAAGAGTAGGATGTTTGGTCTCTGTCCTTAAGAAGTTTAAAATCTGATCTAGTTCCATCTTCCAATGCATTTCTTATGGGCTATACCAAGCCACCAATGATGTAAATAAAACATTCAGGTTTCTTGTAGAAACGTTGCTCGACTATCCTTCATGCAATAATGCAGCACTTTGTAACAAGCTTTATAATGAGGCTATGAATTAAAGTGATGCATGGCTTTTCTGAGCTACAATATGCATCACAACAGCCTGTATTAACAATTTAAAACCATATAATGTGCTTTATAAGCTAATAAAGTAGCTGCCTCTAAATGATTTATCAAATATGAATAATGCATCCAGAAATAACTTACAGGAACAGAGCCAGCCTCCCCCATTCCTTTGCTAGCTGACTTTCTACACAGATGATACCGAGGACACATGGGAGCTGAGTTACTGAGCTCTAGACACCAGCCTCCTGTTCTGCCAGGAAGCCTGCCTGAGTTTTCCCAGGAGCCTCCCTTGTAATCATCTGTTTTCAATATTTCAGCCAGGCTCTCAGCCTTTTCCCTTCTGGCTCTCTCTCTAACCCTTTATTCTCCCCTATAGCTTTCTTCTCTTTTAGAAACTTCCTCATTCCATCCTCCTTTCTGCTTATTTAAAGGGAGGACAGGAATTATGTTAGAAAGTTTCTGTATGGGAGCAGCTATGTGTAGTAGATGAAGCAATCAGAAGGGAGAACTCTAAGGGCTCACAGCCCAGAAAGAGAATAGTTCCACATGCTTTCTAGACTTCTAAGATATATTCACATTAGATTTTAAACTGCCCATTATTCTAAGTGAAGTAACTCAGGAACGGAAAACCAAATATCATATGTTCTCACTTATAAGAGGAAACTAAGCTATGAGGATGCAAAGGCATATGTGTGATATAATGTGCTTTGAGCACTCGGTTGGGAGAGGAGTTAGGGATAAAAGACTACATATTGCGTACAATGTATACTGCTCAGGTGATGAGTGCACTAAAATCTCAGAAATTACCGCTAAATAACTTATCCATGTAACCAAAAACAACGTGTACCACAAAACTTATTAAACTAAAACTAAAATAAAATATTTTGAAGAAGTGGGGGAATAGAAAATGGCTTCCATCTACCCTTATAGGTTCTTTGGCTGGCCTATGAATTAAATTAACATAAGACAGATTAATAGAAGAAAAAACATATATAATTACCTGCATATACATGGGAATCCCACAAAATAGAAGACTCAAATAAGGGTCAGGTAATTAAAGCTTCTATAGCATTGTAAGCTACAGAAAGAAACAGAAGCTTGGGTCATCTGGGTGGTGAAGACACAAGTTAAAGGAGGGTGGAAGGAGGAAATGTATGGTGAATAAAGGTTGTCTTGTTATGAAAAATAAAAGAAGTGTTTCAAACATATCTGAATTTATAAAATAAGAGTAAATGTCCTACCTGATGTGATACCGCATTATATGTAAAACTATGTGCATATATTTAGAAAAGAAAATCACAAACATATTGATATTGTTAAGCATTATTTAAATACTTTTCTTTAAAATATTAGATTTGTTTTCTAAAATCACATTCTAAAACCATCCTTATTTTGAAATCAGAACATACGTTAGTACAATGTATTAGTAATAGTAGTAAAATTAGTAGTAATAGTAAAATATATTAGACCCATTATTAGAGAAAGAAATAACAATGAGTCAATTGGTGAACAATGACTCACTTATAAATGTATTTTTACATAGTTAATTCTGATGGTTATCAACAGTCCCTTTAAACTATTCATAATCTTTCACCCTAGTGTCAAGAAAGTCAGCAATATGAAAGACTTTCTGAAGGGGCACAGTGACCTAAAAATAAAAATTCTGCATTTGAAAAAAAAATTTAATGGCCTAAACTCCTAAATACTAACTAGACTTAATGCTCAGAGTTTTATCTGCTGAACACTGCCTTTGTGAACTCTGATAGTGTTTACCAAAGGCTTAAAGCATGGTGGATCTTAGTCTGGACTTCTTGAGGAGATTTGGTGTTTGAAATAAATATATATATGTACAAAACCAAAGGCATAGCGGAGAAGTCTGTAAGAGACCATTGTTCCTATCTAATGTGAGAAGCAGTTAGCTCTTTAGAAACCCATAAGAGAGCCTCACCAAACTAAATTTCAAAAAATTATGAGAACTTGCCGTGAGAAAAAAAACACAGGATTACTATCATCTCTAGCAGAGAACAAACTCACCACAGGCCAGAAAATTGAAGAAGAAATCCAACCTTCTACACATTTATGAAACGTATGTGGGAACTAGAAAAATGGATTCAAATCCTGAAGAGTACTAGCCCCAGGCTGAGACTACACCAACACAAACACTCATTCCCGTATGAAATGCAAAACAGGAAATGCGCCAAAGGCCAGCAGGAAAGCTCACAGAAATCTCTTTTTCACAAGTGTACTGCAGCTGTGCTCTGAAAGTTGGAATGGAGCAGCAAAGACGAGAGATATCTCCGGCAGCACAGAAAACAGGGGACGTGGTGGGAATTAACACAGAAAATTGTTAAGTAACCAAAAAGCTTAGTGCTAGTCTGCAACGTACAGCGAGATCTCCCAGCATTCATAAAACTGGCAGCTTATTTTTAAAGGATAAAGAGAACTCTGGAATATCTCTACTGTTCAGGTCCTGAGCCTTTCTAAAGGAAATCTAAAATCCCAATTTGGCCCTCAAAAATTTGAAATTAGAGGCAAACAAAATCGATTAAACCTGCAAGAATAACTTGACACAGGCCATCCAAAGATTAGACTCACTCAGAGCACTCCCCTCAATGCTGTCCTGACAGAAGATGTGGTAAACTATTATTTGGATTCAGACCTTGTTTACCTGTCTTTGTTGTTCTACTTCACAAAAATGGCTGGCATTCAATCAAAAACTCCAAGGCACATGATAAAGCAAATACTAAGCATAAAGAGGTTGGAGTGTTTATCTTGAATCACACAGAATAAGATGTCAAAGCAAAGAGTAATGATAAAGTGTCAAATAGTCAAAATACATAAGAATCATAAATGTAAATATACTTTATAAAAGTGTTTCAAATACACGAAGCAAATGATGTCAGTAAGATGACAGAATAGGCAGATACAACCACCTCTCTGTACAAAGAAACATTGAGAAATAACCATAAATGATCAGAACCAATTCTCTCAGAACTCTGGAAAACAATCACAGGTCTACAGCAACTGAGAAAACTGTATATCAAGAAAAAGACAACTTAAAAAACAGTGGGAAATGTTTCTGGTGATTTTATCTACCTTTCTTTGGCTTCATGACAGTCTTGAATATGGCAGCCCGCAGCCTCAGTCAGTATGAGAACCTGGTCCCTTGTTCCAGAGAGAGCAGAGCAGATCTTATTCACACATTATTGTTTCTGTCTTTGCTAACCTGTCTGGCAGCTACTCGAAGGACTGATGCAAGGTGCTTATCTCTGTTTGACTTAAATCAAAACTCATTCAGGGAAGAAAACTAAAAGGTGTTGCTTTAAAACACTGCAAGGTGGAAGAAGAATCTGATGGCATCTGGGGAAAACTTACCGTTGAGACATACAATAGGTGGTTTAAAGTCTGAGAGAAAAATATCCAGAGAAGGGGAGTCTTGGGGAAATTAGGGCATTCAAAAATACACGTGTTGGATAATATAAGAATATATTATCCAAATGTCAAAGGCATTCAAAAGTACACATGTATGCTGAAGAATTTTGAAAGTCAAATGCATGCCCTAATGCTTTACCTCTGGCTGATCACCAGGCACAGTACAAGCAGGTAATGAAGCCTTAGGCAGAGTTGTAAATGGCCTGGCAAAGTGTTAAAGAAGTGCCCCAGCACAGAGAAAAATCTACAAATGGACAAGGTGGTTTTTGTTGTTGTTGCTTTTTGAAATCTCTTGGCATTAAACACAAGTTGACTTTCCATCAAACGCTAGTTGAACACAAGCCATAGGAAGAGAGACATTAGTGGCCATGTAACAAGTAGAAAAATATCTTGAATTACCTGTGTTAAATATGCTCAAAAAACTAAATAATAACTGAATATAGTTTTACAATCACTGAAATGAAAAACTACAGCAGTTCGACAACAATGTTAAGCAGAGAGAAGACAGATTTAGCAAACTTAAATATAGGACTATTTAAATTACTCAGTCTAAGGAGCAGAGGAAAAATAATGGAGAAAAGTAAACAGAGCCTAAGGAACCTGTAGGACACAATCAAGCAGATCAACCTATGCAAATATGTAGCTCTCAGAAAAAGAAGACAGAAAGAGGCTAAATAATATTTAAAGAAATAATGGCCCAAACTTCCCAAATGTGATGGAAGACATGAATCTATACATCCTAGAAGTTCAAAGAACCCCATGCAGGGTCATCCCAAAGAGAGCTACACTGAGACATATAATAATAAAATTGTTGAAAGACAAAGATAAACAGAAACTTGAAAACATCAAGAGAGAAGCAACTTATCACTTACAAGTTATCCTCAATTTATTTAACAGCTGATGTCTCATCAGAAACCAAGTAGAACAGAAGGCAGTATGAGGGTATAAAGTGCTAAAAGAATAATAAATATCAACCAATAGTTCTACAAGTGGCAAGTGTATTCTTCAAAAATGAATATAAAATTAAAACATTCACAGATCGTAAAAGTAGAGAGAGTTTATTACCAGTAGCTCAGCCATACAATAAATGTTAAAGGAAGTCTTTCAAGTTGAGATGAAAGGACATTGGAAAGCAACACAGAGCCACACGAAAAAAAGTAAAGACTTCCAGCAAAGATAGGTATATAAGCAAATTTTGAAACCAATATTATGTATTTTTAGAATGTAACTCCACTTTTCATTTCCTGAATCATTTTTAAAATTTATAAAAATAACTATAAATCTATATTATATATAATTTATATGGATATGTTTGACAACAGCATAAAAAGTTTGAGTAGAGATGTATAATAGATTTTTTTGTATGATATTGAAGTTTAAGTTGATATTAATTAAAAGGGGCTATTAAACCAAAACCAAATTTGAATAAATTTAAAAGAGTAAAGACATGAAATATATCCCCTAACCACAATGAAATGAAGTTAGAAATTAATAACTGCAGAAAAACTGGAAAATTTTAAAATACGTAAAAATCAAACAGCACATTTTTAAACAACCAGTGAAATGAGAAAATACACAAAGGTAATTAAAAATATTTAAAGATAATGAAAATGGAAATATACATGCCAAAATATATGGGATGCACCAAAGGCAGGGCTCTGAAGGAAATTTATAGCTGAATATACCTACATTAAAAAATAAGAGAGATCTGAATTTAACAAACTAATGCTACACCTTAAAGAACTAGACAAAGAAGAGCGAACTAAATCCAAAGCTAGCAGAAGAAAATAAATAATAAAGTCAATTAAAGAAAAATGAGCTAGAAACTAAAAGCTCTAGAGATAATAAAAACAAAGGACAGTTTATGAAAAGATCAATAAATTGAGATATCTTTAGCTAGAACAGCAAAATCAAAAACCAAAAAACACCAAGTAAAGTCAGAAATGAAATTGATAATGCTACTACTGGAATAAAGTACCCCTACTACTTACAGAAATAAAAATAATTAAAAAAACAGTCTATGAATTTTAATACCAACAAATTAGATAACCTAAATAAAATGGACTAATTCTAAGAAATACACAAATTATCAACTCTGACTCAAGAAGAAACAGAAAATCTGAACAGACTTAGAAAAAGTAAAGAGATTGAATTCCTAATCAACCATCTCCCAAAAATGGAAAATCCAGAACTAGATGCCTTCACTGGTAAATTCTACTAAACATTTAAAGAAAAATTAGTATCAATACTTCTCAAATTCTTCAAAAACATAGAGTAGGACGAAATACTTTCTGACTCATTTTGAGGCCAGCATTACCATGATACCAAAGCTAGAAAAACAATATAAGAAAATAAAATTACAAGCCAATATTCATTATAAATATAGAAGCTCAAATCTTTAACAAAATATTAGCAAATTAAATCCAATAGCATGCTAAAAGGATTATACATCATGGCCAAGTGATATTTATCCAAAGAATGGAAGGATGTTTTTATATAAGAAACTTAATCACTGTAACATACACATTAACAGAACAAATGACATTTATATATGATTATATCAATTTACATAAGAAAGATTTGACAAAATTTAATACTATTTCATAACATTCAGAAAATTAAGAATAAAAGGGAATGTTCTCAACATGATAAAAGACATTTTTGAAAAACCAGCATCTAAGGTTGTAGTCAACAGTGCTAAACTGGAAGTTTTCCCTCTGAGACCAGGGACAAGACAAGTAGGCCTGCTTTTACTATTGCTATTCAATAGCAATAGTAAAATTTGAAATATACTGAAATTTGTAGCCAAAGTATTTGAAATACACTGAAATTTGTAGCCAAAGTATTAAGGCAAGAAAAATAAATAATAAAACATTATTATTGGAAAGAAGGAACTAAAACTATTCACCGATGACATGATCTTCTATAGAAAAAAAAGCCAAGAATTCATAAAAAGTAACTAGAGTTAACAAACAAATTGAACAAAGTTGCATGATATAAGACCAACAGGGAAGAATCAATCATGTTTCCATACAACAGCAATAAACAATCCAAAAAGGAAATTAAAAAAAATATTTACAATACCATCCACAAGAATGAAATATACCTATTCAAAGTGATGTTAGACCAAAAACACGTCTGAATAATTTTAAGACTAAAATAATGCAAAATATATCCTACAACCACAATGGAATGAAGTTAGGAATGACATACTAAGGCTTAAATTTAATCCAACATGTGGAAGACTTGCAGGCTGAAAATTATGAGGCATTGCTGAAATAAATGTTAAAAGATGTAAACAAGTTGAAAGTTATCATGTGTTCATGAATTGGAAGACCAGATGTTGTTAAAATGGCAATACTACCCAAGGTGATCAACACATTCAATGCAAACAGTAGCATTTCTTAATGCTCATTTTCTGAAGAAATAGAAAAGTGAATCCTCAAATGTATATGTAATTGAAAGGGGCCCACAGAGCCAGAATAATTTTGAAAAACAAGAACAATATTGGAGGACTCAGAGTTCCCAACTTTAAAATTTACTAGAAAACTGCAGTAATAAAAATAGTGTGCTTTTGGCATAAGAATAGACAGAGGCTAATGGAACAGAATTCGGAATACATCAATATGTCCATCTATCTACGACCTGTTGATTTTTAAGAAGTTGCTAAGACTATTCAATGGGGATAGAATATCCTCTTCAACAGACAGTGCTGGAACAAATGGATATTTATAAACAACAATGAAGTTGGTAGAGTACTATTCAGCCATGAGAAAGTATGAAAATAGTGTCATGTGTGACAACATGGATGAACCTGGAGAACATTATCTTAAATAAGTCAAACACAGAGAGATAAATACTGCATGTTCTCACTTATACGTGGGAGCAAAAAAAAAAAGCTTATAAAAGTAGAGACTAGAATACAGGTTATGAGAGGCTAGGAACGGGAAGGGGAAGGGAGAATAAGAAAAGACTGGTTTATGGATACAAAGTTACAGCTAATGCTAGGATTAAATTCTAATGCTCTGTAGCACTACTGGGTGAATATGGTTAACAATAATTTTATTTTCAAAAAGCTAGAATAGAGAATTTTGAATGTTCATGACAAAAGAAATGATAAATATTCAAGGTGATAGATTTGCTAATACTCCTGATTTGATCATTATGCATGGTATACATGTATGAAAATATTACTTGTGTCTCATAAATATGTACAATTATTACATGTCAACTAAAAATCAAATAACCTTAAAAAGAATGAATCAGGCCAGGCACGATGGCTCACACCTGTAATCTCAGCACTCTGGGAGTCTGAGGCAGGCCGATCTCCTGAGGTCTGGAGTTTGAGAAAAACCGGGCCAACATGGCGAAACACCATCTTTACTAAAAATACAAAAATTAGCCAGGTGTGGTGGCATCTGCCTGTAGCCCCAGCTACTCAGGAGGCAGAGGCAGGAGAATCACTTGAACCCAGGAGGTGGAGGTTGCAGTGAGCCAAGATCATGCCACTGCACTCCAGACTGGGCAAAAGAGGAAGACTCCTTCTTGAAAAAAAAATAAACAATAAAATAAAGAATGAATCAATTTCTAAATACTTGCTTAAAACAGTACCAAAATATTTATTAATCAGGGAAATCTAAACACTATTATATACAATGCCAATATGACAATGGCTCAATACAATAAAATTTCTCATTCAAAAAAAATAAAGAATAGAGTTGAACCCTCAACCTAAATCATGTACACAACAAAGTTGTAAATGAGTCAATGACCTAAATATAAGCATTAAAACAATGAAACTTATAGAAAAAATATGGATAAATCTTCATGACCTTGGATTTATCACCAGATTCTTAGGTAGGACACAAAAAGCATGCACTATTTAAAAAATAGACAAATAGCATGTCATCACAATTTAATACATTTTAAAGCACAAACTTTTATCTAAAAAGTGAAAAGGCAACTTTTAATTGGAAAATTAAAGAGAATGGAGAATTTACTGAATCTACAGAAAATACTTGCAAATCATATATTTAATAAGGGTCTATTAAACAGAATATATAAACAATTCTTGAAACTCCACAACAAAATTCAAACAACCTAACTTAAAAATGGATAAGGCACTTGAATAAACATTTTTCCAAAGACAATATTCAAAGACCCAGAAAACTCATAAAAATATGTCTAACATTATTAATCATTAGTGAAATTGAAATCAAAATGACAGTGAAGTACTACTTCATACCCACCAGGAGGACTATAATTTTTTAAAATGGAAAACAACAAGTGATGGTGAGGATGTGGAAGAATTGGAATTTGTATACATTACAGGTGGGAAGTTTCAGCTGCTCTGTGAAGGATTTTGGTAATTCCTCAAAAAGTTAAAGACAAAATTACCAAATAACTGCAATTTTTGGTGTACACTCAAAATAATTTTAAAAAGGCACTCACATGAGTATGTGTGCATTCATGTTCAGGGTGGCCCTATTCACAATAGCCAAAAGTTGGAAACAGCCCAGATTTCCATCAATGGATGAATAGATAAACAATTGTGTCATATGCATATAATGGAATTATTAAATCATAAAAAGGAATGAAGTATTGACACATACTTCAAAATGGAGGCACCTACAGACATTATGCTAAGTGAAAGAAGCCAGACACGAAAGAACAAATATGATATGATTCCATGTATATAAACTCTCCAGAATAGATAAGCTCATAGAGACAAAGCACTGATTGGTAGTTGCCAGAAGCTGAGAAAGAGGTGGAAGGGGAAGAACTGTTTCATGGGTAAGATGTTGCGCATTGTATGGATGGAAATGTTTTGAACTAGATGGAGGTGGTGGTTAAACAACATTGTGAATGTATTAAATGCCACTGAATTGTTCAATTTAGAATGTTCAATTTTATGTTATATGAATTTTACCTCAATAAATAATTTTTAAAATACATGAAAAAACAAATAGATAAAACCAAAGGAAAATATAAAGAATTACACAGGGAAATATAAAGACATCCATATTTACAATAATTCATAGAACATCCAGACCAAAAATCATTAAGTATAGAGGATGTGCGAAAAAGGCAACAATAGCAGCAGCAACAACAAATTATCAACCAACTTGACTGAATTGACATTTAGAGAACATTACACTCCCACACTGAAGAAGGCACATTAATTTCAAGTGAACATGCAACATTCACTAAGATAAACCATATGCTGAGCTTAATAAATATTTTATAATTTAAATAAGCAAAGCATATTTTCTGACAACAATGGTATTTAGCTAAGAATCAATAATAATATCAACAAGTACATCTCTAAGTATTGGGAAATTAAATAACACAATTTTATATAACTCCTGGGTACATAAATCACATGGGAAATTAGAAAATCTTTCAAACTAAATGATAATGAAAGCAGAGACTATCAAAATGTGTGAAATGCAGCTACACATTAATTATAATGAATTTTATAGCACTAAATGCCTACATTAGAAAATGAAGAAAAGTATAAAACTTAATAATCTAATATTCCAGTTTATAAAAGTACCAAAAAAAAACTAAATCCAAAATAAGAAAACAGTTAAAACAACAAATGTTAATATACAAGCAAAAATGAATTGAATAGAAAATGGACAAGCAATACAGAAAACAACAAATGCGTAAGTAGTTTCTTTGAAAAGTTAATTAAATTGATAAAAAGCCAAGATGACAAAACACAGAACAAAAGACCAATCTCAAATGATCAATATTAAGAACACAAAAAGAAAACATCACTATAGATCCTACAAACATTAGCATGATAATGAGGAAATATTTAAAAAATGTATGGCAATAAATTTGGCACTTTAAAATTAATAAGATTATTCGAAAACAGCTGCTACAAGTGGAAATGAAAAACCTGCATAGAACTATAAGTAATTAAATCACAATCTGAAACACTGCCATAAAGAAAACTCCAGGCCTGGAGACTCCGCCCAAGAATTTTATTAATCATTTAAGAGAGATTAACAGCCATGCTACACAAGATGTCTGTTTGTTTTAGAAATGGATGAGGAATAAACACTTTCCACTTCATTTTATAGGTTCAGCATAATTCTGACACTAAGAGGAAATTTTAAAAAAAATAATTACTGATGAATATCTCTCATAACATAGAGGCAACCATTTTTGACTAAATATCAGCCAACTAAATCTAGGAATATATAACATAAAGGCTAATAAATTTTCAGCAAGTGGGGCTCACCTCAAGACGGCAAGGTTGTTGTAACATAAAAAGTAAGCAATATAATTCACTATACAGAATAATGGTTAAAATTATACTACTATTCTAATCTATAGATGTAGTAAAAGCATTTGACAAAATCCAATAACAATTCATAATTGTTCAAACCTCTCAGTACACTGTGAATCTAAAGAAAAATAAAAACCTCCTCAATATTTATATATTTTGTCATAAAAACTACACTTATCATCTCATTTAATGATGCCAAATTAGTGGACATTTTTAAGTTGAAAATGAGGAAAGTTTCTCATTCTCACCACTTCCATTAAATATGGCACTATAAGTGTTTTGTATTAAAGCAAGTAAAGGAAATGAATTGTATGAATGTGATGAAAAAGAATTAAAACTATTATTCTTCAAAGATGACTTATTTTGTATACATAAAACATGAAATCAGCCAGGCGCAGTGGCTCATGCCTGTAATCCCAGCACTTTGGGAGGCCGAGGCGGGTAGATCACAAGGTCAGGAGTTCGAGACCAGCCTAACCAATGTGGTGAAACCCCCATCTCTACTAAAAATAAAAAATTATTCGGGCATGGTGGCATGAACCTGTTGTCCCGGCTACTCAGCAGGCTGAGGCAGGAGAATCGCTTGAACCTGGGAGGCAGAGGTTGCAGTGAACTGAGATGGCACCACCATACTCCAGCATGGGTGACAGAGCGAGACTCTGTCTCAAAAAGAAAAGAAAAAAAAAAAAAAACCTATGAAATTTACGAAAAACTATGCTAGTATGAATAAATTAGCAAGATGATGGGGTGCAGGGTTGTTGCACCAAAATTAATTATATCTCTATGTATTATCAACAAACTGAAAAAGTATATATTAGCTACTATCTATGAAAGTATGAAAAAACATTTAAAAACCTGAAGAATAAACCCAATGAAAGATGTGTAAGACCTCTAAATTGAAAACTACCAAACATTAGTGACAGAATTTGAAGACAAGTAAATGGAGATATATATCATGTTTATGGATTGGAAGATTCAATATTGTTAAGATGTCAGTTCTCATAAGAAATTTTTTATAGATTCAACCCAAATGCAATTAAAACCCCACAAGGCTATTGTCATTGCTGTTGAAGAAATTGACAAGCTTGAATATGGAAATGCATATTATCTACAATAGCCAAAATTATCTTGGGAAAATAAAATTGGAGGACTTATACTGCCTGATTTTAAGATTTAATACAAATCTCTAGTAATACAGACAATGTAGCACTGATGTATGATCAATGAGAGAAAGTGGATAAATCACCCATAAATATTTACTTAATTGATTTTTGAACAATGCAAAATAAATTAAACAGGAAAAGAAAAGCCTAAATTAAAAAAAAAAAGTTTGGAAGAACCAGAATTCTATTTATGAAAATTAAACATTGATTCCCACTTCACGCCAAACACAAAAATGCAAGATGAGCCGTAGGTTGAAACATCTTATGAATGCTAGAATAATAAAGCTAATGAAAGAAAAATTCCAGAGAATATTTTCATTACATTGTATAAGAAATATTTTTAGATGGAAAACAAAAAAAATCACAGAGTGTAAAAGAAAACAAGAGAGATACCAAATTTTATTGATATTAAATTTCTTCTAATAAAAAGGCAATATTTAAAAAATCAAAAAGCCATAATTGGAGCAAATATTCACAGAATATTTTTTAAAAGAGCTTGTATATATATATATATATATATATATATATATATATAGCCTTTTGCTTATATTGAGTTGTCTTCTTTTATTGCTGATTTCTACAATATAGAAATATATACATATATGTAGAAATCTACAATAAGACAACTGAATATAAACAAAACCAAGCAAGATGTTTGAATAGATACTCCACAAATGAAAACATAAAAATGGCAAATAAACACATGAATAGGGAATATGTCATCAAATAATGAAATCACAGCCACAGTGAGATATATTTTCACACCCAATAGAGTGGCTAAAAAAAAAAAAAAAAAAAAAAAAAAAGATGGCCAATGTCAAATGCTGGCAAGCATGTGGAACAATTGGAGCTCTATTACCTTGCTGCCAGGAGTGTAGAGTGGTTTAACCACACTGGAGGACTATTTAGTAGTTCTGATAAAGGTAAACATAGATCTACCTTAACCCTATGTCTTAGCTAGTCTACTCTTTGGCATTTCCTCAAGATATACAAACACATATGTGCACCTGCATGCATGCACATGCACAAGCACACACACCCTAATAAAGAATCATTAGCAACCATATTCATAATGGCCCCAAACTAGAAGTAACTCAAATGCCTATCAGTAGGAAGTGCATAAACATATGTGGTATATTCATATGAGAGAGTGCTAGTCAGTGATGAAAAAGAATAAATTGCTGATAATTGCAACAACGTGAATAAATTAGAAAGCATACTGCTGATCCAAAGAAACACGACACAAAAGAGCACACACAGTATAATTCCATGTATAAGAAGCTCAAGAACAATCAAAACTACCATGTGTTATGCAAAATCAGGAAAATACCCTCAGGGCTGAGGGTGCAGAGAAAGTTGACCTGAGGGAAGTACAATGTGACATGATGGAAATGTTTAAAATGTTTTTGGTGGTAATTACATGCATGTATAAAATTGTCAAAAATAATAGAACTGAATTTTTAAGATCTGCACATTTTATTGTAAGTTATATGCAAGTAAAATATTACTCTATCAAAAGAAAATCACAGTGACAATGCATATTAGGGTGGTAGTCTCTCATCACTTACCTTGACCCTTTTGACAAAACTGATGGGGAGGGGAGAGGACAGAGATCACATGGTCTTCTTTGATTAAATCAAACATATCAGTTAACATTTAAAATGATTACTATTGGCCATACAGTAGTAATAGTAAATGGCTTACTTAATTTAACATTTATTAAAACCTTAGTGATGTCATGTAGAAGAAAAGAAACAGAAGCTTAAACAACTTCCCTACTTCCCTAATATCACATAGCTAGTACATTATGGATCCAGGATTTAAAAACCTCTGTCGGATTTAGAATCCCTATGTTTTACTACTATTCTGGTCCTCTTTCACTAAACATCCTGTTTCTAACTTGGGAAAAAATATGTTTGAAATCCAATAGAAAAATGGGCAAAAGCAATTCACGGGAATATATGCTAAAATATTTGAAACTTCTCCAAAGAATAACTCAAAGTAAGTTGAAATAAGAAAAAAAATGTAATTAAACAAAAATGAAACACAAGGCAACACTCATTAGAAGAGCAAAAACTGGAAAGATGCCAGGATGCCCAGTGGTGGTGAAGATGTGGGCAGACAAGAATTCTAGCACGCTGATTATGTCAAAGTCCTTAGCCATTCTAGAAATTATTCTGGTGGTTCCTCATGTCATTAAGTGAGCATATGCATTATAATTAATCGCTTCTACTCCTGAGCACATATCACAGACAAAGTTTATAATGGGACATGTATAAAGTAGTTGATTAGAGTGTGTGTGTGTGTGCGCGTGCACACACTTACTGTAATCAAAGTTTTGAGGGATAATCAATAGAGGAGTAGACAAGTGATATGTTATGGATCCACTGGAATATATCATGGAAAAAATGAACTAGGTATAAAATGGTGCAATATGAATAGATATAAAATATAGTTTAGAAGAATAAAGACATAGAATGATATTAAAGCATAATAACATGTATGCAAGTTAAAACCCTGTATGCCAAACAACACTATCTAGAACACAAATATATGCATTTTGATGACAGACAATGCTGAGAGAAGTGGCTGTACCTGCCTTACAGCCCTTTTCCCATAGTGGCTTCCCAGGCTGATGAATGACCTACAAATAGCACGTCCCAACTTTCTACAATAAAACAAGCAAAATTATCACATGTTTAGGGCCCAGAACATCCTTATTCAGTTTAGACACTGCCCCTCTATGTGAGCACAGACTGGGCTTAGGGTTAGTTTTATTTCTGTTACAAATTGTGTCTTCTAATGGGTGGCAGTCTCCCATATGAGACCTCTCTCTATTTAAGGGCAAACAAATGACAGTCTGTCAAATGAATGAATAAATGAATGATTAAGCACAATACATATTTCATGCCCAATTTTATGGCACACATAAGACATGATAGGTCTTTTTCCCTTACAGGACACCTAAACCATTAGAAACTAGAAGGCAGAAAACCAAAGAAGTATTAGTAGGGATGGGTAGTCTAAAAACTAGGTGGATGAGAACAGAATACCTTAGGCAGATTTTGAAAGACGGAAGTGCTAAATCACTGCCTAAAAACTCCAACTGGAAGCAGTGACAGGTTCTCATCAAGAGGAGAGCTAACTACTTTGAAGTGGCATTAGAGAAATTGTTTCTCATATGTTATCACTGTAGATTCATATTGATTCATCTCTGTAGCTGAATTATCTTTAAAAAATTTATGGTGCATTTTTATGGCAATAGCCAATCATGCATATCATTAGTGTGCATAGCAAGGAGTTTAAGACAAGAGGAGACTGATAGCTCTTCAATTATTGATGTAAATGAATTGCCAAGTGTAGCTAGTTTAAGAAATGCAATAAAGAGCAAAAGTCAAATCTCTGGTTCTGTGCACACACACATACACACACACAATCACACTAAACAAACTCATATATTTTATCTAGCAGTAAGTGAAGACAGAAATTGAGTTACTTAAAATTTAAGACACTCCTGGAATTTTACATCATGAAATAAATTTTTAAAAAAGACACTGTGATTGTCATTTAGAGGAGGGATACTCAGAATATTTAATTTAGAAGGTGCTTCAAAGTTATCAAATTCAACCCTACCCTCAACAGAATGCCTGAAAATGCCTCTAAGCTGGGATCACAAGCCTTTGCTAAAACACTAGATCTTACTAGAGGTTGGTGGTCAGTGTTGCTCACAGAATGAAAGTCATTTTATGAAGAAAGCAAACTTAATGTACTTAAAAAAACATATTTGTCCAATGTAATGTGGTCTCATCCCTGAGTTTCTGAGTTTCACCTGCTGAATTTCTGGGTTTCCTGGAGCGAGTTACTTATTCTCCTCAAACTTTTTTTTCACCTTTAAAATGGAGATAAGAGTAGTATTACTCTATAGGGCTATTTGAGGGACTTAAATAATAGCATATATTACAAAATTGTTGGATTTAGGTTACAGCGGCTTGACATGCTTATGCTTATAACATTCGACTCTACTTCAGCATGACGGCCACAAATTGAGTTATATCACACGCTCTGAAGCACCACAAGGAGCTCCTACCCTCCACACTCAGTTCAGCTCTCATGTCACTTGGCAACTCCTTTACTTGCCTTTAATCATTTTCACTGCCTTAAGTGCCATTCCAAAATTCAGCACTGTCCTCAAGCTGATATCCAGTCTCATTCATTTTACATCCGGTAGATAGTCTCAGCTTCTAAATCATGAAGTAACTTAGGAGATCAGAAATGACCTATCCCACTTCTCACATGCCCATTAACTGCAAATATCTTTATATCCCTTGCACGCCTGCTCTTTTTCCTCTAGTCTTAGAGAACACTTGCTTAGTCTCAGCCAGTGATCTTACACATATTCTTTGTATCATCCCTTCCCCATATTCAAAACCAAATCTTGAGTCCATATATTCATTCTGTTCCCTAGACCCATGTGTCTATACATCTACCAAGGACCTGCACTTGGATGTTGCATAGAAACCTCATATTTAGCATGTCTCAAATGGAACCTCAATTTCCATCTCCAACAAAAACTTCTGCGTTCACATCGTGAATCTACCTAGAACTCAAACCTTACAGCTTTATATAATTCTTGAGATCTCCCTTTCCATATACCTGGTATCCAATTGCAAAGCTGTGTCAGTTTTAGCTTTCAAACTATTTCTTGAATCCATTTGCTTATCGCCAACTTAATTGCTAACCCTTCTGATTCAGTCCATCTCTGTCATGAGAATTGCAGTAGATTCCTGGCTCATCTTCTTGACTCCTGACTTGCTTTTCTAGAATCTAATTGCCATGCCACCCTGAGAATTATAGTTCTAAAGTATTTATCTGACAACTTTCAGAGGGTAGGCCTTTTATGATTTGGCCCTGCTTACCTCTTAAGCCACATTTCTATGCTTTATCCTCTCATCCACAATGCTGCTGTCAAGCTAAGCTTCATGCAGCTCCACTCTGTTGTCGGTGGTGGTTTTGCACCATTTGTCTTCCTATGTTCTTGACTGCCTCCTATTACTCATCTGTGATATACCAGTCTCCTGGAATCTCCCTGATACTCCAGACTGTGTTGGATGTCCCTCTTTCCCATCGTTCATATAATTCTGAACTGTAGTTTTCTCTTTTGTTTCTTTCCACTGAAGTGTGAGTTTTTTTTTAGAGTAGGAATGCCCAACAAGTAACTGGTGATAAAGTCACAGAACTTTTCAGAAAAAGTGTGCCTAAAAGTATATGATTATAAATATAAGCATATTTATATGTGGTGAAGTATGGGTCTGGAAGGAACACAGCATAGAATGGCAAGACTGCTAAAGACAGAGCCCTGGGGATCACTACCCCCTACTAAATTTCCTTTGTACGGGACCAAGGCACTAAATAGGAAGGAAAAGCAAATGTTAGATGCATGTGAGATTACAGGGCAACAAGAAAGCTACAAAGAAAAGTGAAGATGGAGGCATACGGCAAAGGGATTTCAATGTGCTGAAGGGAGCTCACTTACAGAACTACATCTAATCCCTAAAGAGAATTATCTGGCTGCAGTTAATACGGATGACAAATCTGAGAAGCAAAATCAAGGACATTGAAGTTTAGTGTGATGTTTAGACCATGCAAACACAGAAGCATCCTATTTGGATGAATTTTTCTGGTGAAGAAAGTGAATGTACAAAACAACAAAACAAAATTGTCCATCAAGACAAAGGAAGTAACATATAATTAGTAAGATTCACAAAATACACAAAGAATGAATTTGGCCCTTCTTCTTACAAATCCTCTATATCAGATGAAATTGAAATAATAGTGTATAAATATGACTACAGAAGGACTTTTTGTTCTGAGTTCCACCTCTTTTCAAAGACTTGAGATTCCTTGGCTCATTAATACCATTAGATTTATTTTTGTATAGGTTAAATCACCTGTTGTTAGATTGTGGTACACAGTGAATTTTAATAAATTAAACCTACTGTCCTTCTCAAAAACAACACATAGTTCAACAACTATGATTAAGTTGTCTATATTAATAAGTAGCTATCTCCAGGATAATTATAGTTTCCACTAAATGATTTGTATAAATGGGAAATGTCTTTAAATAGTTTCAAAGTTATTTATATCCTCCCCTTTGATATGTCCTGTGTGTTCAAACATTTGTGTATGTACTCCCAGGGGTTCTAACTTCAATTTACTACCCTGAGTTACTATTTTTGTTTCCTCAATAAACAAGCAGGATAACAAGCTAGTTAAGGGCACAGTTGGTGGAGCAAACTTTCTGGTTTAGAATCCCAGTTTTGTATCTAGATCTTTTTACCTTGGACATATTTTTATCCCTTCTATCACTTATTTGCTTATTTGTAAACTGCAAACATAATAGCACCTATCTATTAGAGTTATTCTAAAAATTAAATGAGTTAATATATTTATAATGGGTTATAAAAAGAAAATGTTTTGTAAAGTCCTTAGAAGAGGGTCTTGTATTATCCCATTTTCACACTGCTATAAAGACATACCTGAGACTGGGTAATTTATAAAGAAAAGAGGTTTAATTGACTCATAGTTTCACAGGCCTGGGAAGGCCTCAGGAAACTTACAATCATGGTAGAAGGGGAATAGGCATGTCTTACATGGTGGCAGGAGCAAGAGAGAGGTGTGAGGAGCAAAGTGGGAAGAGCTCCTCATAAAACGATCAGATCTTGTGAGCACTCACTCAATATCACAAGAACAGCATGGGGGAAACTACCCCCATGATCCAATCACCTCCTATCCCTAGACATGTGTGAATTATGGGAATTGTAATTCAAGATGAGATTTGGATGGGGACACAAAGCCTAACCGTATCAGGCCTGGTACAGAATAAGCACTTAATAATTTAACCTTTACAGTGTCAATCATTCTAGTCCTCTCTTTTACACTGAGCAACATTGCTTGTATTTTGTCTTGTAGCTATTTCTTCAATCACAAGAAGGTACTTAGGCAGTGAAAAGGAAGACAAAATGGTAAACAGGAAATACAAAAGGAAAAGAAAAAATACGAACTATAACATAGAACATATACAATACAGTATTATAATATTACTGCTTATTATTTGCTTCAAACTCAGATAAAACATAGCCTTGCAACTCAGTTATTCTCTATTTCAAACTCTAAATTTCTATTGGTGATGAAGACAAATGATTATTTTAGTTGATGTTTTGCCAGGCATGAATTTTTTTTCTTTTTTTTAGGAAAAATGGAAAAATTCTGTTTGATTAGCTCTGAGAGAAAGTATTCAGTTCCAATGAGAGACAGACCTTCACTGCAGCCTGAGTCACATCCTTTGAGCTTTGTAAAATATTATGTCCTCCAGAATTTAACCATCTGGAAGCTAGTGACAGGGTTGGATGCTATTCACGCATTCTCCTTCATGTAGCTCACAATGTGATGCACGTCACTTATTTTTCAGATGTATTTGAATGCCTGTAAATTACCAGAAACCTGCTAGATGCCAGGGATACAAAGATAAACAACAGGCCAGGCACTGTGGCTCATGCCTGTAATCCCAGCACTTTGGGAGGCTGAGGTTTGAGGATCACTTAAAGTCAGGTGTTTGAGACCAGCCTGGCCAAGATGGTGAAAAACCATCTCTACTAAAAATACAAAAAAATTAATCAGGCATGGTGGCAGCACTTGTAATCCCAGCTACTCTGGAGGCTTAGGCAGGAGAATCCCTTGAATCTGGGAGTTAGGGGTTGCAGTGAGCCAAGATCATGCTATTGGTCTAAAAAAAAAAAAAAAAATATATATATATATATATATATATATATACACATACATATATATATATACACACACATATATATACACATATATATACACATATATATATACACATATATATACACATATATATACACGTATATATGTATACACATATATATGTATATATATACACATATATACACACATATATACGTGTATATACGTATATACGTACATATATACGTGTATATACGTATATGCGTACATATATACG